>NC_000006.12:21878181-22181212 GCF_000001405.40 Homo sapiens | reverse complement strand
CTAAGAAAAAAAAAGACAAAAATAAAACAGAAACAAAACAAGAAGACATTATAACTAATACCACAGAAATTCAAAGGGCTGTTAGGGACTATTATGAACAATTGTACACCAAACAAATGGAAAAACCCAGAGGAAATGGATAAAGTCCTGGACACATACAACCTACCAAGACTGAATCGGAAAGTAACAGAAATCCTGAATAGACCAATAATGAGAAATGAGATTGAGTCAGTAATTTAAAAAAAAAAACAAAAAAAACTCACTCCCAACAAAGAAAAGCCTAGGGAGAGAGGGCTTCACTGCTGAATTCTACCAAACTTTCAAAGAACTAATACAGAGGGGGAGGAGCCAAGATGGCCGAATAGGAACAGCTCCAGTCTACAGCTCCCAGCGTGAGCGACGCAGAAGACGGGTGATTTCTGCATTTCCATCTGAGGTACCGGGTTCATCTCACTAGAGAGTGCCAGACAGTGGGCGCAGGTCAGTGGGTGCGCGCACCGTGAGCGAGCCGAAGCAGGGCGAGGCATTGCCTCACTTGGGAAGCGCAAGGGGTCAGGGAGTTCCCTTTCCGAGTCAAAGAAAGGGGTGACGGACGCACCTGGAAAATCGGGTCACTCCCACCCGAATATTGCGCTTTTCGGACTGCAGCGCACCACGAGATTATATCCCGCACCTGGCTCGGAGGGTCCTACGCCCACGGAATCTCGCTGATTGCTAGCACAGCAGCCTGAGATCAAACTGCAAGGCGGCAGCGAGGCGGGGGGAGGGGCGCCCGCCATTGCCCAGGCTTGCTTAGGTAAACAAAGCAGCCAGGAAGCTCGAACTGGGTGGAGCCCACTACAGCTCAAGGAGGCCTGCCTGCCTCTGTAGGCTCCACCTCTGGGGGCAGGACACAGACAAACAAAAAGACAGCAGTAACCTCTGCAGACTTAAATGTCCCTGTCTGACAGCTTTGAAGAGAGCAGTGGTTCTCCCAGCACGCAGCTGGAGATCTGAGAACGGGCAGACTGCCTCCTCAAGTGGGTCCCTGACCCCTGACCCCCGAGCAGCCTAACTGGGAGGCACCCCCCAGCAGGGGCACACTGACATCTCACACGGCAGGGTATTCCAACAGACCTGCAGCTGAGGGTCCTGTCTGTTAGAAGGAAAACTAACAAACAGAAAGGACATCCACACCAAAAACCCATCTGTACATCACCATCATCAAAGACCAAAAGTAGATAAAACCACAAAGATGGGGAAAAAACAGAACAGAAAAACTGGAAACTCTAAAACGCAGAGCGCCTATCCTCCTCCAAAGGAACGCAGTTCCTCACCAGCAATGGAACAAAGCTGGATGGAGAATGACTTTGACGAGCTGAGAGAAGAAGGCTTCAGACGATCAAATTACTCTGAGCTACGGGAGGACATTCAAACCAAAGGCAAAGAAGTTGAAAACTTTGAAAAAAATTTAGAAGAATGTATAACTAGAAAAACCAATACAGAGAAGTGCTTAAAGGAGCTGATGGAGCTGAAAACCAAGGCTCGAGAACTACGTGAAGAATGCAGAAGCCTCAGGAGCCGATGCGATCAACTGGAAGAAAGGGTATCAGTGATGGAAGATGAAATGAATGAACTGAAGCAAGAAGGGAAGTTTAGAGAAAAAAGAATACAAAGAAATGAGCAAAGCTTCCAAGAAATATGGGACTATGTGAAAAGACCAAATCTACGTCTGATTGGTGTACCTGAAAGTGATGGGGAGAATGGAACCAAGTTGGAAAACACTCTGCAGGATATTATCCAGGAGAACTTCCCCAATCTAGCAAGGCAGGCCAACGTTCAGATTCAGGAAATACAGAGAACGCCACAAAGATACTCCTCGAGAAGAGCAACTCCAAGACACATAATTGTCAGATTCACCAAAGTTGAAATGAAGGAAAAAATGTTAAGGGCAGCCAGAGAGAAAGGTCGGGTTACCCTCAAAGGGAAGCCCATCAGACTAACAGCGGATCTCTCAGCAGAAACCCTACAAACCAGAAGAGAGTGGGGGCCAATATTCAACATTCTTAAAGAAAAGAATTTTCAACCCAGAATTTCATATCCAGCCAAACTAAGCTTCATAAGTGAAGGAGAAATAAAATACTTTACAGACAAGCAAATGCTGAGAGATTTTGTCACCACCAGGCCTGCCCTAAAAGAGCTCCTGAAGGAAGTACTAAACATGGAAAGGAACAACTGGTACCAGCCGCTGCAAAATCATGCCAAACTGTAAACACCATCGAGGCTAGGAAGAAACTGCATCAACTAACGAGCAAAATAACCAGCTAATATCATAATGACAGGATCAAATTCACACATAACAATATTAACTTTAAATGTAAATGGACTAAATGCTCCAATTAAAAGACACAGACTGGCAAATTGGATGAAGAGTCAAGACCCATCAGTGTGTTGTATTCAGGAAACCCATCTCACATGCAGAGACACACATAGGCTCAAAATAAAAGGATGGAGGAAGATCTACCAAGCAAATGGAAAACAAAAAAAGGCAGGGGTTGCAATCCTAGTCTCTGATAAAACAGACTTTAAACCAGCAAAGATCAAAAGAGACAAAGAAGGCCATTACATAATGGTAAAGGGATCAATTCAACAAGAAGAGCTAACTATCCTAAATATATATGCACCCAATACAGGAGCACCCAGATTCATAAAGCAAGTCCTGAGTGACCTACAAAGAGACATAGACTCCCACACTTTAATAATGGGAGACTTTAACACCCCACTGTCAACATTAGGCAGATCAACGAGACAGAAAGTCAACAAGGATATCCAGGAATTGAACTCAGCTCTGCACCAAGCAGACCTAATAGACATCTACAGAACTCTCCACCCCAAATCAACAGAATATACATTTTTTTCAGCACCACACCACACCTATTCCAAAATTGACCACATACTTGGAAGTAAAGCTCTCCTCAGCAAATGTAAAAGAACAGAGATTATAGCAAACTATCTCTCAGACCACAGTGCAATCAAACTAGAACTCAGGATTAAGAATCTCACTCAAAACCGCTCAACTACATGGAAACTGAACAACCTGCTCCTGAATGACTACTGGATACATAATGAAATGAAGGCAGAAATAAAGATGTTCTTTGAAACCAACGAGAACAAAGACACAACATATCAGAATCTCTGGGACGCATTCAAAGCAGTGTGTAGAGGGAAATTTATAGCACTAAATGCCCACAAGAGAAAGCAGGAAAGATCCAAAATTGACACCCTAACATCACAATTAAAAGAACTAGAAAAGCAAGAGCAAACACATTCAAAAGCTAGCAGAAGGCAAGAAATAACTAACATCAGAGCAGAACTGAAGGAAATAGAGACACAAAAAACCCTTCAAAAATATCAATGAATCCAGGAGTTGGTTTTTTGAAAGGATCAACAAAATTGATAGACAGCTAGCAAGACTAATAAAGAAAAAAAGAGAGAAGAATCAAACAGACACAATAAAAATGATAAAGGGGATATCACCACCGATCCAACAGAAATACAAACTACCATCAGAGAATACTACAAACACCTTTACGCAAATAAACTAGAAAATCTAGAAGAAATGGATAAATTCCTGGACACATACACTCTCCCAAGACTAAACCAGGAAGAAGTTGAATCTCGGAATAGACCAATAACAGGAGTTGAAATTGTGGCAATAATCAATAGTTTACCAACCAAAAAGAGTCCAGAACCACATGGATTCACAGCCGAATTCTACCAGAGGTACAAGGAGGAACTGGTACCATTCCTTCTGAAACTATTCCAATCAACAGAAAAAGAGGGAATCCTCCCTATCTCATTTTATGAGGCCAGCATCATCCTGATACCAAAGCTGAGCAGAGACACAACAAAAAAAGAGAATTTTAGACCAATATCCTTGATGAACATTGATGCAAAAATCCTCAATAAAATACTGGCAAAACGAATCCAGCAGCACATCAAAAAGCTTATCCACCATGATCAAGTGGGCTTCATCCCTGGGATGCAAGGCTGGTTCAATATACGCAAATCAATAAATGTAATCCAGCATATAAACAGAGCCAAAGACAAAAACCACATGATTATCTCAATAGATGCAGAAAAAGCCTTTGACAAAATTCAACAACCCTTCATGCTAAAAACTCTCAATAAATTAGGTATTGATGGGACGTATCTCAAAATAATAAGAGCTATCTATGACAAACCCACAGCCAATATCATACTGAATGGGCAAAAACTGGAAGCATTCCCTTTGAAAACTGGCACAAGACAGGGATGCCCTGTCTCACCACTCCTATTCAACATAGTGTTGGAAGTTCTGGCCAGGGCAATCAGGCAGGAGAAGGAAATAAAGGGTATTCAATTAGGAAAAGAGGAAGTCAAATTGTCCCTGTTTGCAGACGACATGATTGTATATCTAGAAAACCCCATTGTCTCAGCCCAAAATCTCCTTAAGCTGATAAGCAACTTCAGCAAAGTCTCAGGATACAAAATCAATGTACAAAAATCACAAGCATTCTCATACACCAATAACAGACAAACAGAGAGCCAAATCATGAGTGAACTCCCATTCACAATTGCTTCAAAGAGAATAAAATACCTAGGAATCCAACTTACAAGGGATGTGAAGGACCTCTTCAAGGAGAACTACAAACCACTGCTCAAGGAAATAAAAGAGGATACAAACAAATGGAAGAACATTCCATGCTCATGGGTAGGAAGAATCAATATCATGAAAATGGCCATACTGCCCAAGGTAATTTACAGATTCAATGCCATCCCCATCAAGCTACCAATGACTTTCTTCACAGAATTGGAAAAAACTACTTTAAAGTTCATATGGAACCAAAAAAGAGCCCGCATCGCCAAGGCAATCCTAAGCCAAAAGAACAAAGCTGGAGGCATCACACTACCTGACTTCAAACTATACTACAAGGCTACAGTAACCAAAACAGCATGGTACTGGTACCAAAACAGAGATATAGATCAACGGAACAGAACAGAGCCCTCAGAAATAACGCCGCATGTCTACAACTATCTGATCTTTGACAAACCTGAGAAAAACAAGCAATGGGGAAAGGATTCCCTATTTAATAAATGGTGCTGGGAAAACTGGCTAGCCATATGTAGAAAGCTGAACTGGATCCCTTCCTTACACCTTATACAAAAATCAATTCAAGATGGATTGAAGACTTAAACGTTAGACCTAAAACCATAAAAACCCTAGAAGAAAACCTAGGCATTACCATTCAGGACATAGGCATGGGCAAAGACTTCATGTCCAAAACACCAAAAGCAATGGCAACAAAAGCCAAAATTGACAAATAGGATCTAATTAAACTAAAGAGCTTCTGCACAGCAAAAGAAACTACCATCAGAGTGAACAGGCAACCTACAAAATGGGAGAAAATTTTTGCAACTTACTCATCTGACAAAGGGCTAATATCCAGAATCTACAATGAACTCAAACAAATTTACAAGAAAAAAACAAACAACCCCATCAGAAAGTGGGCGAAGGACATGAACAGACACTTCTCAAAAGAAGACATTTATGCAGCCAAAAAACACATGAAAAAATGCTCATCATCACTGGCCATCAGAGAAATGCAAATCAAAACCACAATGAGATACCATCTCACACCAGTTAGAATGGCGATCATTAAAAAGTCAGGAAACAACAGGTGCTGGAGAGGATGTGGAGAAACAGGAACACTTTTACACTGTTGGTGGGACTGTAAACTAGTTCAACCGTAAACTAGTTCAACCATTGTGGAAGTCAGTGTGGCGATTCCTCAGGCATCTAGAACTAGAAATGCCATTTGACCCAGCCATCCCATTACTGGGTATATACCCAAAGGATTATAAATCATGCCGCTATAAAGACACATGCACACGTATGTTTATTGCGGCATTATTCACAATAGCAAAGACTTGGAACCAACCCAAATGTCCAACAACGATAGACTGGATTAAGAAAATGTGGCACATATACACCATGGAATACTATGCAGCCATAAAAAATGATGAGTTCATGTCCTTTGTAGGGACATGGATGAAATTGGAAATCATCATTCTCAGTAAACTATTGCAAGAACAAAAAACCAAACACCGCATATTCTCACTCATAGGTGGGAATTGAACAATGAGATCACATGGACACAGGAAGGGGAATATCACACTCTGGGGACTGTGGTGGGGTTGGGGGAGTGGGGAGGGATAGCATTGGGAGATATACCTAATGCTAGATGACGAGTTAGTGGGTGCAGCACACCAGCATGGCACATGTATACATATGTAACTAACCTGCACAATGTGCACATGTACCCTAAAACTTAAAGTATAATAAAAAAAAAAGTGGGGGGGGGGGACAAAGAACTAATACCAACTTTTATCAAACTACTCCAGAAAAATCTAAGGGGAGGGAATTGTTCCAAATTCATTCTATAAGACCAGCATTACTCTAATATCAAAACCAGATAAGGATACAACAACAACAGTGAACTACAGGCCAATATCCCTGATAAACATAGATGCAAAATTCTCAACAAAATATTAGCAAACCGAATTCAACAGCACATCAAAAACATCATACACCATGATCAAGTGAGCTTTATCCCACAAATGCAAGGACAGTTCAACATACACACACTGTATTGGTCCATTCTCACACTGCGCTATACAGATACTAGTTGAGACTTGGTAATCTATGAAATAACAGATTTAATTGACTCACGGGTCTGCATGGCAGGGGAAGCCTCAGGAAACTTACAATCATGGTGGAAGGCAAAGGGGAAACAAGGCATGTCTTACATGGCAGCAGGAGAAAGGGAGAGGGAGAGAGAGAGAGATAGAAGTGGGGAACTGCCAAACACGTTTACAGCATCAGATCTTCTGAGAACTCCCTCACTATTGTGAGAACAGAATGGCAGAAACCACCCACATGATCCAATCACCTCTCACCAGGCCCCTCCCTCAATGTCTAGAGATTACAACTCCAGATGAGATTTGAGTGGGGAACTGAGCCAAACCATATCATTCTGCAACTCGCCCCTCCAAAATCTCACGTTCTTCTCACATTGCAAAATCAATCATGCCTTCGCAACAGTCCCCCAAAATCTTAGCTTATACTAACCTTAACCCAAAAGTCCAAGTCAAAAGTCTCATCCAAGACAAGGAAAATTCCTTCTGCCTGTGAGCCTGTAAAATCAAAAGCAAGTTAGTTACTTCTAAGATACAATGAGGGTATAGGCATTGGGTAAATGACTCCATTCCAAACAAGAGAAATTGGCCAAAACAAAGGGTCTGCAGGCCGCATGCAAGTCTGGAAGCCAACATGACAGTTATTAAATCTTAAAACTCCAATATGATCTCCTTTGACTCCATCTCTAACATCCAGGGTACTTTGACAAAAGGGATGGGCTCCAAAGGCCTTGGGCAGCTCTGTCCCTGTGGCTCTGCAGGGTACCGCCCCCAAGGCTGCTTTCACAGGTTAGCACTGAGTGCCTGTGGCTTTTCCAGGAGCATGGTGCAAGCTGCTGGTGGATCTACCATTCTAGTGGAGGATGGTGGCCCTCTTCTCACATCTCCCCTAGGCAATGCCCCAGTGGGGACTCTGTGTGGGAGCTCTGACTCCAAATTTCCCTTCCACACTGCCTTAGCAGAGGGTCTCCATGAGGGCTCCACCCCAACAGCAAATTTCTGCCTGGACATCCAGATATTTCCATATATGATCTGCAATCTAGGCTGAGGTTCCCAACCCCAATTCTTGACTTCTGTGCACTCAAAGGCCCAATATTACTTGGAAGCCACCAAGGCTTGGGCCTTGCACCCTCTGAAGCAAAGACCTGAGTTGTATGTTGGTCCCTTTTAGCCATAGCTGGGATGCAGGGCACAACGTTCCAAGACTGCACAAAGCAGCAAGGCCCTGAGTCCAGCCTGTGGAACCAAGTTTTCTTCTTATGCCTCTAGGCCTGCGATGATAGGGGCTGCTGTGAAGACCTCTGACATGCCCTGGAGACATATTCCACATTGTCTTGATGATTAACATTCGGCTCCTTGTTGTGTATGCAAATTTCTGCAGCCAGATTGAATTTCTTCCCAGGAAATTGGTTTTTCTTTTCTGCCACATGTTTAGGCTGCAAATTTTCCAAACTTTTATGCTCTCCTTCTCTTTCAAACATAAGTTCCAATTTCAGACCATCTCTCTCAAGTTAAAAATTCCACAAATCTCTAGGGCAGGGGCAAAATGCTGCCAGTCTCTTTGCTAATGCATAGCAACAGTTACCTTTACTCCAGTTCCCAACAAGTTTTTCATCTTCATCTGAGACTACCTCATCCTGGACTTCATTGTCCATATCACTATCAGCATTTTGGTCAAAACCATTCAACAAGACTGTAGGAAGTTCCAGACTTTCCCACATCTTCCTGTCTTCTGAGCCTTCCAAACTGTTCCAACTTCTACCTGTTACACAGTTCCAAAGTTGTCTCCACATTTTCAGGTTATCTTTATAGCAGTACCCCACTATCCCAGTACCAATTCTCTGTATTAGTCTGTTCTCACACTGCTATAAAGGTATTACCTGAGACTGGATAATTTATGAAGAAAAAAGTTTAATTGGCTCTGTTCTGCATGGCTGGGGAGGCCTCAGGAAACTTACAATCACAGCCGAAGGTGAAAGGAAAGCAAGGCGGTGTGGAGCCAAGATGGCCAAACAGGAACGGCTCCAGTCTACAGCTCCCAGCGTGAGCGACGCAGAAGACATGTGATTCCTGCATTTCCAACTGAGGTACCGGGTTCATCTCACTGAGAAGTGCCGGACAGTGGGTGCAGGATAGTGGGTGCAGTGCACCGTGCGTGAGCCAAAGCAGGGCGAGGCATCGCCTCACTCGGGAAGCGCAAGGGGTCAGGGAATTCCCTTTCCTAGTCAAAGAAAGGGGTGGCAGACGGCACCTGGAAAATCGGGTCACTCCCACCCGAATAATGTGCTTTTCCAACGGGCTTCACAAACGGCACACCAGGAGATTATATCCCGCACCTGGCTTAGAGGGTCCTATGCCCACGGAGCCTCGCTCATTGCTAGCACAGCAGTCTGAGATCAAACTGCAAGGTGAAAGCGAGGCTGGGGGAGGGGCGCCCGCCATTGCTTAGGCCCGAGTAGGTAAACAAAGCAGCTGGGAAGCTCGAACTAGGAGGAGCCCGCCACAGCTCAAGGAGGCCTGCCTGCCTCTGTAGGCTCCACCTCTGTGGGCAGGGCAAAGACAAACAAAAGACAGCAATAACCTCCGTAGACTTAAATGTCCCTGTCTGACAGCTTTGAAGAGAGTAGTGGTTTTCCCAGCATGCAGCTTCAGATCTGAGAACAGGCAGACTACCTTCTCAAGTGGGTCCCTGACCCCTGAGGAGCCTAACTGGGAGGCACCCCCCACTAGGGGTGGACTGACACCTCACATGGCCGGGTACTCCTCTGAGACAAAACTTCCAGAGGAACAATCAGGCAGCAGCATTTGCGGTTCACCAATATCTGCTGTTCTGCAGCCACTGCTGCTGATACCCAGGCAAACAGGGTCTGGAGTGGACCTCCAGTAAAATCCAACGGATCTGCAGCTGAGGGTCCTGACTGTAAGAAGGAAAACTAACAAACAGAAAGGACATCCACACCAAAAACCCATCTGTATGTGGTCATCATCGAAGACCAAAGGTACATAAAACCACAAAGATGGGGAAAAAACACAGCAGAATAACCAGAAACTCTAAAAATCAGAGCACCTCTCCTCCTCCAAAGGAACGCAGCTCCTCACCAGCAATGGAACAAAGCTGGATGGAAAATGACTTTGACGAGAGGAAGGCTTCAGAAGATCAAACTACTCTGAGCTAAAGGAGGAAGTCTGAACCAATGGCAAAGAAGTTAAAAACTTTGATAAAAAATTAGATGAATGGATAACTAGAATAACCAAAGCAGAGAAGTCCTTAAAGGACTTGATGGAGCTGAAAACCACAGCATGAGAACTATGTCACAAATGCACAAGCCTCAGTAACCAATGCGATCACCTGGAAGAAAGGGTATCAGTGATGGAAGACGAAATGAATGAAATGAAGCGTGAAGAGAAGTTCAGAGAAAAAAGAATAAAAAGAAAAGAACAAAGCCTCCAAGAAATATGGGACTATGTGAAAAGACCAAATCTACGTCTAATTGGTGTATCTGAAAGTGATGGGGAGAATGGAACCAAGTTGGAAAACACTCTGCAGGATATTATCCAGGAGAACTTCCCCAATCTAACAAGGCAGGCCAGCATTCAAATTCAGGAAATACAGAGAAAGCCACAAAGATACTCCTCGAGAAGAGCAACTCCAAGACACATAATTGTTAGATTCACCAAAGTTGAAATGAAGAGAAAAATGTTAAGGCAGACAGAGAGAAAGGTCGGGTTACCCACAAGGGGAAGCCCATCAGACTAACAGCGGATCTCTCAGCAGAAACTCTCCAAGCTAGAAGAGAGTGGGGGCCAATATTCAACATTCTTAAAGAAAAGAATTTTCAACCCAGAATTTCATATCCAGCCAAACTAAGCTTCATAAGTGAAGGAGAAATAAAACCCTTCACAGACAAGCAAATGCTGAGAGATTGTGTCACCACCAGGCCTGCCCTAAAAGAGCTCCTGAAGGAAGCACTAAACATGGAAAGGAACAACTGGTACCAGCCACTGCAAAAACATGCCAAATTGTAAAGACCATCAAGGCCAGGAAGAAACTGCATCAACTAACGAGCAAAATAACCAGCTAACATCATAATGACAGGATCAAATTCACACATAACAATACTAACCTTAAATGTAAATGGGCTACATGCTCCAATTAAAAGGCACAGACTGGCAAATTGGATAAAGAGCCAAGTCCCATCAGTGTGTTGTATTCAGGAAACCCATCTCACATGCAGAGACACCTAGGCTCAAAACAAAAGGATGGAGGAAGATCTACCAAGCAAATGGAAAACAAAAAAAGGCAGGGGTTGCAATCCTAGTCTCTGAAAAAACAGACTGTAAACCAACGAAGATCAAAAAAGACAAGGCCATTACATAATGGTAAAGGGATCAATTCATCAATAAGAACTAACTATCCTAAATATATATGCACCCAATACAGGAGCACCCAGATTCATAAAGCAAGTCCTGAGTGACCTACAATGAGACTTAGACTCCCACAAAATAATAATGGGAGACTTTAACACCCCACTGTCAACATTAGACAGATCAACAAGACAGAAAGTTAACAAGGATATCCAGGAATTGAACTCAGCTCTGCACCAAGCGGACCTAATAGACATCTACAGAACTCTCCACCCCAAATCAACAGAATATACATTCTTTTCAGCACCACACCACACCTATTCCAAAACTGACCACATAGTTGGAAGTAAAATACTCCTCAGCAAATGTAAAAGAACAGAAATTATAACAAACTGTCTCTCAGACCACAGTGCAATCAAACGAGAACTCAGGATTAAGAAACTCACTCAAAACCGCTCAACTACGTGGAAACTGAACAACCTGCTCCTGAATGACTACTGGGTACATAACGAAATAAAGGCGGAAATAAAGATGTTCTTTGAAACCAACAAGAACAAAGACACAACATACCAGAATCTCTGGGACACATTAAAAGCAGTGTGTAGAGGGAAATTTATAGCACTAAATGCCCACAAAAGAAAGCAGAAAGATCTAAAATTGACACCTTAACATCACAATTAAAAGAACTAGAGAAGCAAGAGCAAACACATTCAGAAGCTAACAAAAGGCAAGAAATAACTAAGATCAGAGCAGAACTCAAGGAAATAGAGACACAAAAAACCCTTCAAAAAAAATCAATGAATCCAGGAGCTGGTTTTTTGAAAAGATCAACAAAATTGATAGACTGCTAGCAAGACTAATAAAGAAGAAAAGAGAGAAGAATCAAATAGACGCAATAAAAAATGACAAAGGTGATATCACCACCGATCCCACAGAAATACAAACTACCATCAGAGAATACTATAAACACCTCTATGCAAATAAACTAGCAAATCTAGAAGAAATGGATAAATTCCTTGACACATACAGTCTCCCAAGACTAAACCAGGAAGAAGTTGAATCTCTGAATAGACCAATAACAGGCTCTGAAGTTGAGGCAATAATTAATAGCTTACCAACCAAAAAAAGTCCAGGACCAGATGGATTCACAGCCGAATTCTACCAGAGGTACAAGGAGGAACTGGTACCATTCCTTCTGAAACTATTCCAATCAACAGAAAAAGAGGGAATCCTCCCTATCTCATTTTATGAGGCCAGCATCATCCTGATACCAAAGCCTGGCAGAGACACAACAAAAACAGAGAATTTTAGACCAATATCCTTGATGAACATTGATGCAAAAATCCTCAATAAAATACTGGCAAACCGAATCCAGCAACACATCAAAAAGCTTATCCACCATGATCAAGTGGGCTTCATCCCTGGGATGCAAGGCTGGTTCAACATATGAAAATCAATAAATGTAATCCAGCATATAAACAGAACCAAAGACAAAAACCACATGATTATCTCAATAGATGCAGAAAAGGCCTTTGACAAAATTCAACGACGCTTCATGCTAAAAACGCTCAATAAATTAGGTATTGATGGGACGTATCTCAAAATAATAAGAGCTATCTATGACAAAACCCACAGCCAATGTCACACTGAATGGACAAAAACTGGAAGCATTCCCTTTGAAAACTGGCACAAGACAGGGATGCCCTCTCTCACCACTCCTATTCAACATAGTGTTGGCAGTTCTGGCCAGGGCAATCAGGCAGGAGAAGAGAATAAAGGGTATTCAATTAGGAAAGGAGGAAGTCAAATTGTCCCTGTTTGCAGACGACATGATTGTATATCTAGAAAACCCCATTGTTTCAGCCCAAAACCTCCTTAAGATGATAAGTAACTTCAGCAAAGTCTCAGGATACAAAATCAATGTGCAAAAATCACAAGCATTCTCATACACCAATAACAGACAAACAGAGAGCCAAATCATGAGTGAACTCCCATTCACAATTGCTTCACAGAGAATAAAATACCTAGGAATCCAACTTACAAGGGATGTGAAGGACCTCTTCAAGGAGAACTACAAACCACTGCTCAAGGAAATAAAAGAGGATACAAACAAATGGAAGAACATTCCATGCTCATGGGTAGGAAGAATCAATACCGTGAAAATGGCCATACTGCCCAAGGTAATTTATACATTCAATGCCATCCCCATCAAGCTACCAATGACTTTCTTCACAGAATTGGAAAAAACTACTTTAAAGTTCATATGGAACCAAAATAGAGCCCACATTGCCAAGTCAATCCTAAGCCAAAAGAACAAAGCTGGAGGCATCATGCTACCTGACTTCAAACTATACTACAAGGCTACAGTAACCAAAACAGCATGGTGCTGGTACCAAAACAGAGACATAGACCAATGGAACAGAACAGAACCCTCAGAAATAATGCCGCATATCTACAACTATCTGATCTTTGACAAACCTGACAAAAACAAAAAATGGGGAAAGGATTCACTATTTAATAAATGGTGCTGGGAAAACTGGCTAGCCATATGTAGAAAGCTGAAACTGGATCCCTTCCTTACACCTTATACAAAAATTAATTCAAGATCGATTAAAGACTTACATGTTAGACCTAAAACCATAAAAACCCTAGAAGAAAACCTAGGCAATACCATTCAGGATATAGGCATGGGCAAGGACTTCATGTCTAAAAGACCAAAAGCAATGGCAACAAAAGCCAAAATTGACAAATGGGATCTAATTAAACTAAAGAGCTTCTGCACAGCAAAAGAAACTACCATCAGAGTGAACAGGCAACCCACAAAATGGGAGAAAGTTTTCACAACCTACTCATCTGACAAAGGGCTAATATCCAGAATCTACAATGAACTCAAACAAATTTACAAGAAAACAAACAACCCCATCAAAAAGTGGGCGAAGGATATGAACAGACACTTCTCAAAAGAAGACATTTATGCAGCCAAAAGACACATGAAAAAATGCTCATCATCACTGGCCATCAGAGAAATGCAAATCAAAACCACAATGAGATACCATCTCACACCAGTTAGAATGGCGATCATTAAAATGTCAGGAAACAACAGGTGCTGGAGAGGATGTGGAGAAATAGGAACACTTTTACACTGTTGATGGGACTGTAAACTAGTTCAACCGCAAACTAGTTCAACCATTGTGGAAGTCAGTGTGGCGATTCCTCAGGCATCTAGAACTAGAAATGCCATTTGACCCAGCCATCCCATTACTGGGTATATACCCAAAGGATTATAAAACATGCTGCTATAAAGACACATGCACATGTATGTTTATTGCGACACTATTCACAATAGCAAAGACTTGGAACCAACCCAAATGTCCAACAACGATAGACTGGATTAAGAAAATGTGGCACATATACACCATGGAATACTGTGCAGCCATAAAAAATGATGAGTTCATGTCCTTTGTAGGGACATGGATGAAGCTGGAAACCATCATTCTCAGCAAACTATCACAAGGACAAAAAACCAAACACCACATGTTCTCACTCATAGGTGGGAATTGAACAATGAGAACACATGGACACAGGAAGGGGAACATCACACACCGGGGACTGTTGTGGGGTTGGGGGAGGGGGGAGGGATAGCATTAGGAGATATACCTAATGCTAAATGACGAGTTAATGGGTGCAGCACACCAACATGGCATATGTATACATATGTAACAAACCTGCACGTTGTGCACACATACCCTAAAACTTAAAGTATAATAATAATAAAAATAAAAAAATAAAAAAAAGGAAAGCAAGGCACATCTTATGTGACAGCAGGAGAGAGAGAAGAGAGAGAGAGAGAGAGAGAGAAAGAGAAAGAGAAAGGGGGAGAACTGCCAAACACTTTTATAGCATGCGATCTCCTGAGAACTCCCTCACTATTATGAGAACAGCATGGGCAAAACTGCCTTCATTATCCAATAACCTCCTACCAGGCCCCCCCCTTGACACCTAGGTATTACAATTCCAGATGAAATTTAGGTGGGGACACAGAGCCAAATTATATCACAAACCAAATAAATACAAAACATCACATCAACAGAGTGAAGAACAAAAACCATATGATCATTTCAATAGATGCAGAAAAAGCATGGATACATTTCAACATTCCTTCATGATAAAAGCCATCAACAAATTAGGTAAAGAAGGAACAAACCTAAACACAAAAGCAATATATAATAAAGTCACAGCCAACCTCATACTATTCAAGAAAATGCTGAAAGCTTTCTAAGAACTGAAACAAAACAGGAATGCCCACTTTTGCCACTTTTATTCAATGTAGTACTGGAATTTCTAGCCAAAGCAGTTAGGCAAGAGAAAAAAATAAAAGGCATCCAAATTGGAAAAGAGGAGGTCAAATTGTCCCTGTTTACAGATGACCTAATTTTATATAGAGAAAACCTAAAGACTCCATTGAAATTTTTAGAAGTGATAAGTGAATTCAGTGAAGTTGCAGGATACGAAATCAACATATAAAAATCAGTAGTGTTCCTACACATCAACAGCTAACTAGCTGAAATAAATCAATAAAGCAATTCCAGTTACAATAGCTATTAAAAAATTTAAAATAAAATAGGAATAAATATAACCAACAATATGAGAGACCTCTACAATGAAAACCATAAAATGCTGATGAAAGAAACTTATCACAAATAAATGGAAAGATATCCCAGATTCATGGATTGGAAGAATATTATTAAATCGAATATACTACCTAAAGTGATCTATAGATTCAATGAAATCCCTATTAAAATACCAATGACATTCTTCACAGAAATAGAAAAAAAAAAATCCTAAAATTCATATGGAACCACAGAAGACCCTAAATAGCCAAAGCAATCTTGAGCAAAAAGAACAAAACTGGAGGCCTCATACTACCTGACTTCAAAATATACTACAAAGCTTTAGTAACCAAAACAGCATGTACTTACATAAAAACAGACACATGGAACAGTGGAACAGAATAAGGGGGCCAGAAATCCATGTATTTACAGACAACTGATTTTCAATAAAGGGGCCAAGAATATAAATTGAGGAAAGAACACCCTCTCCAATAAATGGTTCTAGGAAAACTGGATATCCATAAACAATAAAACTAGACCCCTATCTCTCCCTATGTACAGAAATCAACACAAAATAAAAGACTTCAATATAAGACCTAAAACTATGAAACTGTTAGAAGAAAACGGGGGAAATGCTTCAAGACATTGGTCTGAGCAAATATTTTATAGTTAAGGCCTCAAAAGTAATGACAATAAAAGCAAAAATAGGCAAGTGGGATTACACCAAAGTAAAAAGTTCCTTCACAGCAAAGGAAACAAATAACAGAGTAAAGAGACAACCTACAGAATGGGAGAAAATATTTGCAAACTATACATCTGACAATAGGTTAATATCCAGAATATACACGGTACTGAAACAACACAAGAGCTAAAAAAACAAATAATCCAATTTTAAAATGGGCAGAGGATCTGTACAGACATTTCTCCAGAGAAGATTTCCAAATGGCCACAAGTATATTAAAAAAATAACATCAGGAAAATGCAAATCAAAACCACAATGAGATATCTCACCTCAGTTAAAAGGGTTATTATTAAAAAGACAAAAAATAACAAAGGCTGGCAAGGATGTGGGAAAAAGGAAACTCTCATGCTGTGTTGGAGAGAATATAAATTACTACAGCCATTAAGGAAAACATTATGGGGATTTTCCTCAAAAAGCTAAAAATAGAATTACTATATGATTCAAGAATCTTGCTACTGTGTATATATCCAAAGGAAAAGAAATCAGTATGTTGAAGAGATATCAGCACTCTCATGTTTATTGCAGCACTATTCACAATAGCCAAGATATGAGATCAAACTAAGTGTCCATCAACAGAAGAATGGATAAAGAATATGTGGAATTTATACAAAATGGAATACTATTTAGCTATAAAAGAAAAGTGAAATCCTGTCATTCATGGCAACGTGGATGAGCCTGGGACATTGTGTTAAGTGAAATAAGTCAGAGAAAGATAAATACTGCATGTTCTTGTTCATATGTTGAAGTTAAAAAAGTTGATCTCATAGATGTAGACAGCAGAACAGTGTTTACTAGAGGCTGGGAAGAGATAGAGAGACAGGAGCAGGAAGAGATTGGTTAATGTCTATAAAATTGCAGCTAGATAGAAAGAATAAGTCCTAGTGTTCTACAGAACTTTAGGTAACTATAGTAAACAATAATTTATTGTATTTTTTCAAACAGCTAAAAGATTTGGAAAGTTACTAACATAAACAATAAAGGTTTGAGGTGACAGATATGCTAATCACTGTGATTTGATCATTACACATTATATACATGTATTGAAATGTCACACAGTACCCCACAAATATATAAAATTGTGTCAATTAAAAATGTTTTTTAATCTATACATCTGACAAAGTCCTAATATCCAGAATCTACAATGAACTCAAACAATTAGCAAGAAAAAAACAAACAATTCCAACAAAATATGGGCTAAGGACATGAATAGACAGTTATCAAAAGAAGATATACAAATGACCAACAAGCATATGAAAAAATTCTCAACATCACTAATAATCAGGGAAATGCAAATCAAAACCACAATGCGATACCACCCTACTCCTTCAAGAATGGCCATAATCAAAAAACCAAAAAACAATAGAAGTGGCTGTGGGTGCGGTGAACAGGGAACACTTCTACACTGCTGGTGAGAATGTAAACTAATACAACCACTATGGAAAACAGTGTGGAGATTCCTTAAAGAACTAAAAGTAGAACTACCATTTGATCCAGCAATCCCACTACTGGGTGTCTACCCAGAGGAAAATAAGTCATTATACAAAAAAGATACTTGCACGTTTATAGCAGCAGAATTCACAATTGCAAAAATGTGGAACCAACCCAAATGCTCATTAATCAATGAGTGGATAAAGAAACTGCGGCATCTATATATACACATATGTGTGTGTATATATATGACTATATATATGATGTGTGTATATATGTATGACTATATATAACTATATATAACTATAACTATATATAAAACTATCTATATAACTATATATAACTATCTATATAACTATATATATATAACTATCTATATAACTATATAACTATATATATATATATATATATATATATATATATATATATGTATGATGGAATACTAAGCCATAAAAAGAAATGAATTAATGGTATTTGTAGCAACCTGGATGAGACTGGAGGCTATTATTTTAAGTGAAGTAACTCAGGAATAAAATACCAAAGTCGTTATGTTCTCACTCATAAGTGGGAGCTAAGCTATGAGGATGCAAAGGCATAAGAATGACACAGTGGACTTTTGGGACTCAGGGGGAAAGGGTGGGAAGGGGGTGAGGGATAAAAGACTACAAATTGGGTGCAGCGTGTACTGCTAGGGTGATGGGTGCACCAAAATCTCACAAGTCACCACTGAAAAACTTACTCATGTAACCAAATACCACCTGTTCCCTAATAACCTATGGAAATAAAAAAAAAAAAGTAAAGCTTCCAAATAAGTAGAAGCACACAGATGTGCATGTATACAGATGTGCATGGAAACAAGTCTGGAAAGATACACACCAAACTGTTCACGGGGATCACCTCTGGAGTAGGGAGCAGAGATAGGGCAAAGGAGGCCTTCCCCTTTCTACTTGAGAGACATCACATTGCTTAAATGTATTTCTTTGTAAGTGTTACAGTAAACATATATATTTAAATATAAAAATATATAAAGATTTAATGATATTCTTTTGAACTATTTATATTAGCTGTTCAATCAATATATTTCTTAAATATTCTTATTCAAAAGCTATCTTAATTTTATAACACTATCTTTAGTCAATACTAATTTACCTAGTTTACCATTCCAGTAATGAGAATAGCTGAATAACGATTATGGATAAATCATATGAAACTTACCATGTTAAATATTAGTTGTTAATTGTGACAGTCCTAATGGCAATAACTTTATGTTCTTTGGCTACTGAGAATCATTTAATTATTATCTTAGTGTTTCAAGTTTATGTATTCTAGAGTTCTAATATGGTAGCCACTAGCCACATGTGGCTATTTAAGTTGAATTATGTTAAATAAAAATTTAGTTTCTCAAAACCACTAGCCACATTTCAAGTGTTCAATAGCTAGATGTGGCTGGCGGCTACTCTACTAGATAGCCACAGACACAGATATTTCCGTTATTGTCCAATTGTATTGCACAGTGATAGTCTAGAAAATACTTACTTTTAAGGATATTGTTGCTGGGATATAGACACTTTGGTTGACAGGGTTTTTTTTAGCACTATAAAAATGTTCCATACTTTTCTGTCTCCAGTGTCTCTGAGGAAAAGCCAGGTGCTAATCACATTATTATTCTTTCAATGCTTATAAGATTTTTGCTTTATCTTTGACTTTTACTGCTTTGACTATGCTGTGTTTTTGTGTGGCCTTTCTGTTTATTCGGCTTGGTATCCGGTGTCAACTTGAACCTGTATATTTATGTTTTTTATCAAATTTGGGAAAATATTGGCTATTATTTCTTTAAATACTTTTTTCTGTTTCATCGTTTCACTCTTCTATTTCTCAGACTACAAGTACATGTAATAAATTAAACCAGTTAATATTCTCTAACACAGCAGTCCCCAACTTTTTGGCACAAGGAACTGGTTTCATGGAAAACAATTTTTCCACAGAACAGAAGGGTTGTCGGGGATGGTTTCAGGATGAAACTTTTCCACCTCAGATCATCAGGCATTAGATTCTCATAAGGAATGTGCAAACTAGATCCTTCGCATGTACAGTTCACAATACAGTTCGTGCTCCTGTGAGAATCTAATGCCACTGCTGATCTGACAGGAGGTGGAGCTCAGGTGGTAATGCTTGCTCATCTGCTGCTCACCTCCTGCTGTGTGACCCAGTTCCTAATAGCCACAGACTGGTACTAAACCATTGCCCAGGGGTTGGGGACCCCTGCTGTAACAGATCTCTGAAGCGCAGTTCATTTTTATTTCAATCTGTTTTTTCTCTCTATTCTCTATATCGAATAATTACTATTGATTAAAGTTCATTTACTCTTGCTTTTGTAAACTCTATTGGCTGTTAGTCCATCAAGTTAAATCTTTTTCATATATTGCATTTTTTAGGTCTAGAATTGTCATTATTATTATTATTATTATTATTATTATTTTGATAGAGTCTCACTCTATTGCCAGGCTGGAATGCAGTGGTGCAATCTCAGCTCACTGCAATCTCCACCTCCCAGGTTTGAGTGATTCCCCTGCCTCAGCCTCCCAAAGTAGCTGGGACTACAGGCAAGCACCACCATGCCCAACTAAGTTTTGCTATTTTAGTAGAGGCAGGGTTTCACCATATTGGCCAGGATGGTCTCAATCTCCTGACCTCATGATCCACCCGCCTTGGCCTCCCAAAGTGCTGGGATTACAGGGGTGAGCCACAGTGCCCAGCCCATTGGTTCTTTATCTTTTTTATTTTTTGGCAGAGATTTCTATCTCTTCATTCACTATAAGCACGGTGTATTTACTGCATAGAGTATGGTCGTGATAGCTGTCTTAAATCTTGTCTGTTACTTCCAATACCTGAGCCATCTTGGTGTTGACATCAGTTAATGTTCTTTCCTCATGAGGATATACACCATTGTCCTAATGATTTGTGTGTCATGTAATTGTGGATTGCATCCTAGACGTTATTAATATTGAGATGTAGAGACTCTGGATTGTTAGTTTTCTCCTATGAGTGTTCTTCCCTTTAAATTTACCACAAAATTATCTTGTTTCACCTCAGAACTGCAAATTCTGATTTCTGGATGACAACTCTGGTCCCAATTCAGATATTTTATCTTTAACTGGAGGCTTTGAATCTGTTTCATGTATATGTGAATCATGGGTAAGCCACCTATGTTGGAGACAGAATATGGGAATCCCACGTGTAACTCTTTTCCTCTCTGGTGGCTGAGGTTTCCCCGGATTCAGTTTTCTGGTCCCCTTTCTTGAAGGACTGTAGATTCCTTCAGCAGCACTCTGTTATCCTGCATGCCATGTCTAAAGAGGAAAAGTCCTGACAAAAAGCAATAACTCTATCTGATTCCCCTCCTCCAAGAAGATACTCCTCTAATAGACTCTGCCTACTTGTGTTTCTGCTATAGTGTTGTCAAGTGGCTGCTTTTTGCATTATACCCAGATTTCATAGTTGTTTTCTTGCAGAGGTGTCAGTCCCTAGGAGCCTACTTAGTCATTAGGTAAAGCAAATCCTTCTTTCCTTTTCCTTTGATACTTGTTTTAGTTTCAGGAGGTCCTGACCTCAAGAGTCACTATTAGTTGTTCAACACAAGTGTTCCTTTCTTCTAGCCAGCAAACAAGATGTTCCATTAGTGTTTAAAGAGTATTTGTTTCTCAATACTCTGTTTTTAAAATTTATTTATTTTCCTACTTAATTTGTTTATAAATAAGTAGCTTTCATAGAGGGTTGGGGGTTCTGAATAGGTCCTGCTGCATTTTATTCTGTAATTTAAGAAACAAGTCATCAAGAAAATTTATAAAGCTGGAAGACTTGTGCTTTAGTGATGTGATCTTGTAATCTTGGGATTTAGTGCTTTTTAAAGTTAACGTTTAAAAAATAACAGTAGATTTATGGAAGTGTATTTCCACAGTAACATGGAAACAGTATTTGACTTGAAATCAACAGATGTGGGCCCCAGGTATGGCACCACTGAATCACTTACTATGTTTGAATCTCTATTTTTCCATTCGCTAAAAATGTCCGTTTCAACTCTAAGGCTGGAGCTAGCTTTCAGCCATATAGAGAAAACCTCTAAGATATGTAAGTCTAAATATTACTATGTTCAATAAACAGTTACACTTTCTTAGTTTAAGGCAATATTGACACACACTAAACAACATAATCAGTTCAGTGCTCTATTCATTCTTTCAAGACTTAAATTCAATGCTATTTTCAAAGAGCCCTATAGCTTGTTATGATGATGGTGGTTATCCCACAAGTTTACAATCATTATTGCTCAAATGTTTTGTGTTACTGGCAAAGTTATAATAACTCCTTTATGAACCTTTAGGGTGTCTATTCCATCTATTCTACCCCAAATTCTGTAATTTTCCAAACATCATGAATCCTGTGGGTAATTGTGTCTTTTGGCATTGTAAGAACTTCAGACTAAATCTACTTTAAGCCAGTGAACTGCATTAGAAAAGGAAAAATCCTTTAAAAGGCAAGACATTTGGCACTGTAGAGATTAGAGGGACCCTGGAAATTGATTTCAATCTGTTGATTGATTGTGAATTGGTAGCTGACTGTACCCATCTCCGGGTTACTTGTAAGCATTCCAAGTAAGCTCATTAACATTAAAATATAAATGTGGGAGCATAGCTAGCAGCTTCCAGAAGGAAACCCCTACCTCAACCATGAGAATCTTACTCCTCTCAATGACTTCATAGTCACCTGTCATTCCCATATTCTCCAGCACATTCTCAGTGTTCTCAACACACCATGGTATTCACAAGGCTTCTAAGACACAAAGAGTTATTCTCCAAATTAAAAAGGAGTCAAGCTGTAGTATGGATGTAAGCTGTCCGATAGAAATATCATGTGAGCTACATATTTAATTTTAAATTGTCTAGGAGCTACTTTGTTAAAAAGTAAAATGAAAAATTAATAACATATTTTAACCCAACACATCCAAAATATTTTCATTTTAACCCAACACAACCAAAATATTATCATTTTAACCCAACACATCCAAAATATTATCATTTACCTTGTCACAAGCATTAAATGAAATACATATTTTACCATTCTCTTTTCATTTTACATTTTCAAAATCCAGACCGTATTTTCTTACAGCACATCTTAATTTGTACTAGCCACATTTCAAGTACTCCATAGCCATATGAGGCTAGTGGCTACTATACTGGACAGCGTACCATCTAGTACTTTTTTTTTCCTTTTTCCTTGAATATGGGAAACAATAGCAGGGCAACAGTTTCTTACAATATAATTTCAACTGTCATGTCTTTAGTCCACCTGGAAACAGACTTCTGTTCATTCACGCTAGTTCACAGACCATGATTGAATAAAGAGATATTTTGGGCACAGCTTCAAAAATACAGGATCACTTTTTCTGGGCAATGATAGACTGTTGGAGGAACAGAACTAGAGGCAACCTCAAGCAACTATCAAAGTGCTATTCTCTCACTGTCTAGAGAGACAAATGACCCAGCTAAGCTCAAACAGCTAGTTAGCAGCAGAGCCAGGTTGGTAATCCACAATTCTAGTTTGCAGTCCATGAACTTTCTGATGCAGTATGTTGAATTTTACCATACTAAACTATGGTACTGGAGGCTACTGTATATATATTTCTATGGCATGGCATTAGTATTTCCTCGTATTTTCCCTATGCGAGCTCTCAGTGATACATTTCTTAGGTGATGAACAAGCTCAAATAACTTCTAAAATATAAGAAATGTAGACCACTTCTGAACTACAGAAATGAGGCCTAAGATATAGCGGGGCAGAACACTGGAATCAAGAAAAAAAAGTGAGCTATAGTTCTAGCTCTGATGAAAACTAGCTGTGTGACCTTGGGCAAATCTCTTAACCGCTCCATGACCCAATCTCCTTATCTGCAAAATGACTGGCAGTGGGAGGATTAGATTATTTCTAAGGTCCCTTCCATTCTAAGATACTTATTCTAATTCCTGCTAAACAAATGATTATATCATAATAACCTTTCTAAGTTAGTCTTCTACTCAGAGGGAAAAAAACGGTGCCACCTGTTCTCTTTATGGATACTTCTAAAAATTAATCAAATAATACTGAATGATTTTATAAAGAAGAAAAATGTTAAATCTCAAGTAATAACTACCATAATAGTGTTTATCTATAAGCAACCATCCTACAACACTAAGCATTATAAAAAGCAATAGCATGGTTAAAATTACACTTCTCTTCAGAAAATTTTATTTCACACAAATAAAAGTGAGAAATTCATAAAATTATATTGTATGGATAGACATTTTTATTTTTACATTTTGAACAGAAAGCTACTGGTTTATATGGAAAATTTCAGTTTCAAATATCTTAACACTACTCCCACTTACTTCCATTTCATTCAATAGATGTGTATATGGCATTTTTGCTGGGCCAGGCATCGCATGATGATGAGCTAAATTGACAAACTTGTCCCCATGGATCTTATAGTTTGGTGGATAGGTCTAAAGAAAATTAAACTAAATGCTCCTTTAAGGACTGAGTACATCATACGTCATGTCATCCTTCTAGTTATCAAAAACTGATCCCCCACAAAGCAGCCGTACAAACATATAGACCATAATCCATGTTTACCTTGCTACCTGTACATGTGACTAAGATGGCAAAAACTGGCACATTGGTTCTAAAGAGAATGCTGGAAATACAAATTCCTGACAATACAGTACCATCCTTTATGCTAAAGTGATTCCTCAAAACTCTAAACAGGACTCCAGAATGAAGACAAGCCCTCTACTCCTGATTTCTAACAATTAGCAACATGGAGAATTGATCAAAAGGAGGGATGCAATGTTCAAATTCTGTTTGCTGGCCATCATTTGAATTGGCTGTAAGTGATTAATATTTTGCTAGAAGACTCTCTCTTTTTATATTTATATGTGTTGCCAAAAAATTCCCAGGCCTTCCATAATTCTTTAATTAAGAGTTCTCAAATCCTAGTGAAGATTAATGATCACCAAACACTGCTCCTGCTACTATTGTGTTTTCTGTTAAAAGTATGAAATGCAACATTCTATAGAAGATGTTTTCCAATAAAGGAGTATAAAGAAATTTCCTTAAAATTATAAAAATTACAAATTCTGTTATGCCTTTTATTCTGAAAATACCATAAAATTAAAAGTATCAGTGGTCATGCTTGGGAAACAATATTGGCATTCCTCATTCTTACAACTAAAAGCCTAAATCCAAAGGCCTTTTTGGTATAGACTTTGATTACTACAGTCTTGGAACAAAACAAGATGAAGCAAAGGCTTCCCTATAACAGAACAAGGGAAAACACAGACCTATGGGAGCTAGAGAAGGAAAAAACATTCTAAACCCAGTGTCATCCTCCCCATATCTATCGAGTGTCCTTTGTAAGACTGATGTCTACCTCTGATAACAAGAGGGGTAGGCAGAGTCTAAAGTCAGAATATCAAACACATTTGAAAAGAAAACAGGCGGAAAAAGAATCACTTCTATCAGGCACTAGCCAAATGTCCATTTTTATGTACTGGCTTCTTTCAAAATATTCAATCACACCTAATAATTGGCAGAGAACACAAAAACGCTCTCACTCCCATGCTGTTGCATTCACTTCCCCTGGGGTACATGGCCATTTGTAGCCACCAGCAGCCACAAGGAAAAAACCACAGGAAGACCAGACACGTTCAATTACACCCCCACCCCTCCTGCCTTACACCTCTCTGTTATTAATATACTTTAGCCTTGTGGGTTAGGAAAGGGTCCTTAAAAGCATCAAAGTAACATTTTTCTAACATTTCTGTTAGAGAACTAAAGGATTTTTTTATTAAGAAAAATATAAAGGCAAGCTAAAATATCAAATATCACGTTCAATTGATGATTCCTGAACACTTTTCATTTAATAAGCCTCTCAATGGTTTGTTAGAACTGAGAACATGTCTCACTCACAGAATAAGATACATGTTTTATGAAATCCCTACAAAAGAAGAATGATTATTCTTGCTTTGGAATAATTCTTATTCTTCCTGCTTTTAAAAAAAAATTGGTTTCTCTTCTTCATCTCTATGCTGCATGCTGTCTAAACAAAAATGTATAATTAGTTGGGTCCAATCTCAGAAGGAGTCACAATAGTATATGCATTTTCTCATCTACTAATTCCAAAACTGTGTGGATAGAACCCTTTATTTTTAAGTAATATTCTACAATTACTGGGATAGATTAACTCATGAATTTCACCATCAATTTAGTAGTAGTAGTTACTACTAATAGTTCAGCAATATTCCAAGTGACTTATTTAATATAAATTATTAGAATATGCAGAATGAACAAGGCTCTGACAGTTATTTTCTATACAAATATCTACTGAGCACTTAGAATGTGCCTATGGCTCTTCTAGTTGCTGGGAATATCATATTAAGGTAAGCCCTTTGGTATCTGCAGTCTAATGGAGGTGATCAGGGAGGTAAAAAACAAAAATAAGTACTTTGCTTTGTGAGCTCATGGGCGCTTACATAAGAGGACAACCTCGGCCACATTTTGGGGCCATAAAAACTTCAAGGGGAACGTAAGAGGCCTGGAAGTGATAGAAAAGTTAGTCAGGTGATGATGAATAAATGTGCTTTAAAAAATCATTGCACACAAAGTCAGCTGAAGACTGACGAATGTTTGTGAGCATGTGTTGCTCCCAAGCCACCTAATCAGGACAAATTTTCTGGAGAAGATCAGCCTTGAGCACAGTTTCAAAATAAGGAAATCACAGCCTTAGGGTAGAGGGGCAGTCCTTTTTGCTCTATCTGTCTTTGGTCTTACTCTAAAAACAGACAAGAAACAAACGGTGTCTCTAGGACAATCCTAAAAGAGAATATGCTAAAACACACCAAGCCAACAACAACAACAACAAAATTAGAGGTGAAACAGCAAGAACACAAATTCCTTGAAATATACTGGATACCTCCAGACTTATTCTAAGTTCCTGTGTCTGCTCTGCTCTTGGCTTCAAGACTTCTGATATCCGACTCCCCAAAATAAATGCTCTTGATGAAGGCTCTCATTAAGGAGAATTACCCTTAAGGATGCCATCAGGATGTCAAAGCCTAATGCACACTTCCTTGATAGCAGGACAACTCCCAGTTATAAAAACAAGAGCGGTAGTAGGAGTCACAGCACCAGCAGTGAAATTCTGCTGCACATTTAGAAAGTTCTAGGAGGGCTTTATGTTCATAATCTCATCTCACCCTCCCAAAGCCTCTGCATGGTAAGTATTATCATCACCCTTAGTTTATGAATGAGGAAGTTCAAGCTTAGGGAAGTTCACTGAAGCATCTCCAGCCCCACAGCTGGTGGATACAGGAGTGAGATGTACACACAAGGTTGCCTAATTCCCAGGCCTGTGGTTTTTAGAGCATGATCCGTCCTGGTTTACTGCCTCCAAAACCATCCACCAACATATAAGGCCAACACCAGCTGCCCTACAACAAAGGAGAAAGGCAAGGAAAGGCCTCAAGTAGAGCAAGAGAAAGGAGGAAAAGGGTTCATCCAGAACCTCTACAGTTGCAGATTAATTACTAACAGAGAAGGGACTGGAGAGATAGGACAAAGGAAAGATCTGACCTAGTTTGTTGAAATAGCACAGTATTTACGTTGATTAAAAGAATATGCAAAAGATAACATGATGCACAGTGGCCGTGCTTCCAGAGTTACCATTTCACACGTTTTAAATTTTTTCCAGCTCTTCAAACAAAGAGGCTGGACTTCCTCTTTGCCCCTGGGCAACCAACACTAAAAAAATAATTTTGAAGGTAAAAATTTTCCATTCTTCCTTTTTACATATTGAGCAATAAAATACCATTATATTTTAAGAAAGAGTAACAATCCTTGCTTTCCTCTTTGAGTTTTAAAATAAATTGTTCCGTGTCATCAGTGAGAAAAGAAAATTTGGTTGATTAGCACTGAGTTCTCATCGCAAATAATTAATATTTATCCAACACTTCTTCTTAATTTTTATTGAATTGTTTGAAATCTTCCTCCTTTTTTAATACACTGATCTTCAGTAAACCTATAGGTGTAAATCACATCCTTAAAATATCAAAGGTAATGATTATAACTTGGGGTCTATAACCCACAGGCAAATCCAACCCCTTGCCTCTTTTTGTAAACAAAGTTTGATTGGAACACAGCCATACTCACTCATTTACTATTGTCTATGGCTGCTTTTTAGCTACACCAGCCAAGTTCAGTAGTTGCTATAGAAACCATACAGTCCACAAAGCCTAAAGTATTTACTATCTGGCCCTTTATAGAAAAACTTTGTTGATCCCTGCCCTATGCCATTGATACATCCACAGATAGAAGACTTCATTATTCCTCTTAACATCTGTCTTCTGGATACTCATCAATTCACTCATTCATTCATTTGTTAATCAACTAATGTCTGTGAAACATCTTCTGTGCCCCTGGCACACAGATGAAGAATGGGTTAGAGACTAGTGGGGAAACAGACTAAAGAATACCACCAGGTGATGGCTGGTCTAATAAGACAGGAGCCTGGTAAAAAGGAAGCCCAGGAGGCATCAGGCTGAGGGAATCAGATAAGGTCTCCGGCAGTGTACAGTTTGGGCGCTTCAGGTATTATGGTTGAGATACTATTACCCATTTTAACAGTGATGTCAAAAATCACTGGTTTACATTATGCTTTTATGACTTCACAAAAGGCACATTCTGACTTACTGATAGATCTTTCATATTATAAAAGTGTTGAGACAGTTTGGAAGAGATGTAGCTTCTCTGTGACATCAGGAGAGCTGATCATCTCCAAGCATCTGATAGTAAGGGCACCAGTTCTTCCCCAAAGTTGTAAGGACTAAGTAACATTAGGTGTCAGACAGAATACAGTCAGGGAAACTATTCAACACAAGATTCACCTGCGCTTCGTGGCCCACCACAATCAACTGCTTATATTCCCTTTTTTGTTTACCCACCAATCCCACCAAAACCTCATTGGTCTATGTTGAACCTTATAACTGGAGAAGTTAGCCTCCTGTGTGAGCAGAAAATAAATACCTAATAAATAAATGATTGATGCAATGAGTGAGGATGATCGCTCCTTTGGTGTTTTAATGAATGGCAAAGGATGAAATGAATACTATGACATACATTGTCTAAGTGAATATCTAGGATTCAAGCTTAAGTATAAGCTTAAGCTTAGCCAAGTCAGCATAAATGACATTTTAAAATATGCTTGCTTTGTTTTTGTTTTTGACTTATTGAATACTTACCTCCCTGGTAATGGATAAAAACAATGGGAAATTCTTAGCAACCTAAACAGCCAAATAAGACTTATATTGAACTATTATAATGTGATCAATTTATTTTTAATCAAACTATAAACATTTGATTGGACTGGGTACCTGGAAACAGGCTGTGCTTTACATACAAATTAGCCATATGTTTATTAAAGAATGTTAATAAAAGTATGTTGACGTTTTTCCTTTCTTAAGTGATTTTAAAGTGACATTTTATTTCTATATATTTGCATTTAAATATTTAAATAATTGTCCATTGACCTAAGCAAAATAAATACTGCAAAAGAAAACCAAAAAATGTTCACTTATTAAAACAACAAAGAAATTGCTTCATTTCGGAAGGAGCAGTACCCCAGATAATCTTTTATTCAACAAATATAAATTGGCATTTTATTCAATTACAAAAGATTGCTAGTGTAGTTGGAAACCTTTACAATAAATGTTTGGGGACTCTCAAAGCCAGTGAGGGTATGATCGATCAATTACAACATCAGAATATATACTCTATTTTAGCTTGATAAGATTTATATGCTGAAATGTAAACACTCCTGGATTTAAAAAATGTATATATGATTGATAGATTTCTTGGCTCTGATAGCATTAGAGGATTTGTTTTATTTTGTTTTGACTGTAGTCTCCGCTATAAGTAGGAATCACTGTTTTAAAGCATTATGTATCTAAATAGTTCCAAATATTTTTTAAAATGTAAATGAAAAGAAAAATCTACACCTAAATTTTCTCTTGCCTTTTTCACGTGGGCAAAAAAAACTAATGTGACAAGTTTACAAGAATCTCTATTATTCTTTTCCTTTATGTAGCCCAGTTTCTTTTTTACTTGTGATATCCCAGGGTGTTCTCACGAAAATTAATTTCAAATCTAAAAGGCAAGGATAATCACTACTTTCAGCAGTAAAAGGTAACAGAAAGAAATTGCAGTTTAAGCACAGTTAGCATATAATTAAGAACAAGAAAAATTAAAGTATTCTTAAATATGTGTTGCTTTAATTTTTCTCCTGATGGCTTTTCAGATTACCTTAAAAAGATCTATCAAGACTCCTCCTCTAGAAAAGATCTATTAAAAGCCACAGACACTTGGAGATCCATGAGAAGGAAAAAAATGGGTCATCTTATACAGTTGATTATGTGAGTTGTCTACATGCAGTGCATATGTCAGCAACAAGGAAAACAACCTCCAGATACATTCTGCAGGCAGATTTTCTTCTGGAGAAAAACCTATGTTTTCCTATACATTGTGAAGCCAACAGGGTAGGGTAGGAGCAGTTCAGTTTCATCCATAAGCATCCACATCAGGCTGGTTTTTGAAAAGGGAGCCAAACCCACAATACCCCAGAAAATAATATTTTGTAATAACAAAAATGGTATATATATTTTTTTCCTATCTAAATCTGGAATCCTGACCACCTTGTTTTAAACAAGACAGAGATTGCAAGCTTCAATCTGTTTGGATAGAAAAGAATTTATATAAATGTTTTGTTCAAGCCCAAAAGGGAAAGAGAGTTTAAATATACAGTGCATGAAAGATGCATGCCCAACTTCAAAACAGCTTAGTGCACAGAAGAGGAAAAATAATCTAACCTTCTGTTAGTCATTCCCAACAGTTTTTAAGCTTAAATATCTTGCAATTTGCGACATCGTTTCAGTGACCCCAACAGTGAGAGATTAACCAAAATTTCATAACTGCCCTGCCCTCCTCCCCTCATGCATCTTGAGGGGAGGGGGAGAGAACAAGAAGGTCAAAGAACAAATGGAAACAAAATCTGTGTTTTGCACTCTTTCTCTGCACTTGAGAAAGAAAAGGAGGCACATAAATCTGTATAATACTAAACCAAATCTCTTTAATTCCAGTCAGCTTTTATCATTCAGCCACTGAGTCTGTGTGTGGAAAAATTCATGCTAATTCCCCCTAGCAACAGACTCAGCCTATCAGGAGACTTTATGTACCATGCAGCTGCCAGCCAGAGAGAATAACTCTAAGTAGGTCAGGCCTGTATTTCTAAAAATGCTACGGTCTAGTAACCCCACTGTCCCGTCTGTCTGCCCTGCCCCATAATAACCTCAATTGCTTGGTGACACAATGACATACTATCCTGTTAGAGTGCAATCACATCATGCTACATTATTCTGCTGCGAGCATGACTGCTGGGTGAAGGACCCTCGGAGGGGCAGCATTAATCAGGCGGGCATTCATGTCCAGCAGCACTTCGCTCTAGAAATGGGGACTGCATTAATGACCAGCTGTTTGAACTAACACAAACAAAATAATGTCTTCCACCCTGTTGGGTGCACAGAATACACTATTCTGATCTGGCAGGTTCCGCTTCTTGACTAAATCGAAGATGTAAATTAAACGGGCTCAGACAATGTCAGTTTTGGCAACCTCAAAGTGAGTATATTTAAATTATATTACATGTGATTCAAAAAGCTATTGATTTAATATATGCAGCTTTCCATGCTACAATTTTCCCTAATCCACATTTTAAAAAAAGAAAAATGCATACATGGGTAATGCAATACATATGCACATATTACCCAGCAAGCTAAACACACAGAGCTGAACTAAAATTGACTTCTCTTTGGGCAGAGAAACAAAGCAGGTCAGGAGTAATTGTGCAGCATGAACACAAATACAAACAGAAAATGAATGCCATGGAGGAGCACTGAAAACAAATAAGAGTAAACATTCTAAGCCTACGGACCAATCAGCTCCTCCCACTGTCTCTTTGTGGAGGCTGTAGTAGCACCCAAATCTCCAAGCACAAGAGACAAGGGAGGGAAGTGAACGTGGCCTTGAAATCTCAACAACTGTGGTACCCTGACTTCCCATAACGATTACTGACTAGCTGCTGTTTGGCTTCAAGACAGCAAAAGCTCCTTCAAGGTTTAAACTCGGGAGATCACCAAAAATCAAAACTCCTTAGTTGTTTTTTAAATTCTAAAGTGGGAATTTTAGAATTTAATTTACCCTATTTACTCGAATGTAACTTTTGACTTCTCTCTATTGAAATGCACAAAAACAAACAAAAAAATTTATGTGTGGATACAGAGATAGGAGACTGGCAGTGCCATTTTTGGCTATTTAGTAAAACATCTTGTATTGATAGAGCTTGCACTGATATTTTCTCGCATGATTAATTTGCATGTTTAAGCGTTCACAGTTTCATTTAATGAACATATCCCCCCTGACAAATTGATAATTCAGCCTTCAATTACGCAGAATTCAGTTAAGTCTTATCTGTGTAATCCATCAGTATTTGATTTACAAACAGAAAATTTCTTAATCCATTTGCCCTTGTTTGAACTGGGTTTGATAACTTAGTTATGACTATCTTCTTCACTTTGTGGCACATATCACATAGTTATTCTTGGATAGATACAGTCACTGACGCAACCATGAACCGCTAATTACAAGCTGGTGACATTCTGCTTGTCTATGCAGCTTTGAAGTTCTAAGGCTGTTTTTCTCTTGTGCGCTTGCTCTGTTTCATTCTCTTCTCCTCATGCCACCCACCCCCAATCACTTACTCTCTCTTTCCTCTTTTCACTTTAAAGCCTTTCTGGATTCACTCTAGGACTATCTGGAGAAAGAGGTAAGAATGATCAGATTCTGTAACTTATTGCTTTTCCTTTCCTTCTGTACTATCCCTGCACACAGATCTACAGTTTGAAAGTACAGTAATAAGATCCTCACCCAGCCCCATCCGCAGGAATGCATCAACAGCTGGCCAAACATAATCCAACACACAGAGCTGCCTTTGTAGAATTAGTAACAAACAGTGGAAGGGCCAGACAGGCGTCCCAGAAGAGCTCCCCATGACAACTGGGAAACCTCCTCACCCCCAGGGTTGAGCTGACTCCACTGAGCTGGGGTTGGAGAACCCCAGCTCTCACATCTGAATCTACAACAAGCCTCAAGTGCCTGCCCTCAACCTCACTAGAAGCTATTCAGAGGGCATTCGGCTCTCCATAACAGCAAGTTAGAAGCAAGCATTCTCCATACTAACAACAGCCATACTCTGCCTCATGGCACATGCCTTTTGAAATGCAACACTGCAAATCTCCAAATCACATGAACAGCATTTACACCTGTACCTAACCATCAGCTGTGAGCTGGTAGGACCACCTCTCGTCTTTAGAAAATAATTTCTTTTTGCAAATTATAGGCTGATCCCGGCACTCTGAAACATGTAAATATAACACTGTATTCATCTCCACTGAGCATTTAGCATCTGAAGCCTGTGGTAGCCAGCTGGTCTCAAAGTCATCTGGGATACATTTATTTTGATTAAATTGATCAGATTTCTATTTACAGGATAGAATTTTTTTGCCATTACTGAATACAGCTGTGTTTACAGGGATTTGTAGAAGAAGAAAACAAAACCCCACAATCGGTCCTAGCAAAGCACAGAGCATTCAGAACTGGAAGGAGTTAAAACAGAGGGGGCTTGCTTTCACAGTAAAAAGAAAATTCTGCATGCAGCTGCTTTGGCCATGCTGTCTCACTAGTCAGGAAATGGGTGTTGAACTGGAGCTGAAAACACAAGCTGCAATCAAGCCCGATCCAGCAAAGTGACAGACTTCCTGTGTAAAATGGTCAGAAACCTTTTTTCATGTCTCTACATGCATGCACATGCATTTAAATCCATGCTGCGAGGCTGCGATTTTCTCTGGGGACACTGGTACAGTCACCTAGCCCATCAGTTCCTTCGTCGACAGCGCCGGGGACATCCAGACTACAATTTACAGTTCCTCTATCCATGTGCTGGGTTATAAATTATGCCATCCTCCCTAGAATGAGAATGCACAGCAAGCGGCAGACAATCACCCGGCATTCGGCATCTCTTTCTTTTCACGCGCTCCCTCGCTCCGCCTTTCTCCAGCTCTGCCTTCTCAGGCAGATACATCAGATACCTTGTTTATCCATCTTCAGCTCCACTCTGAGGTAAAATGCCACCACATCTCGCCATGGGTTGTCCCCCCAGACTAAATCCCTGGGAACAGCCTGAGCTGGGTGCACGCGGCCGAGGCGACGGCTGCCCTTGCCCTGCGGAGCACGGGTGGGCATTGGATGTAAGGTATTCCTAACTTCCCCTTCCCCAGTCCTTGGCGTCCTCTCTAGCCATCCCACCCCAGGTCTTCTGCAGCTTCACCCTGTCCTCCAAGTCCCCTCGCCCAGCTGCGAGGCAGGAGACCCCGGCCGGAGCTCCGCCAGCAGGTCCTTCTTTCGCAGGGCGCAGACGCACGATTCCGGGATCGGGTGCACCACGGCGAAGCCCAGGCGGGAGACGGCAGGAGCAGCTCAGGTAACCAGGGGAAGCTTGCGTGCCCACGGAGATGCAGCCGTGGAGCTGTGAGGAAAGACGGTCTGGCTTCAGAATTTAAAAAAAAAAAATAGAAAAAAAAAAAAAAAAAGAAACACAAAACAGCGCAGCTCGGCGCCAGCGGGGGTGGAAAAAACAGACACAAACCATAAAAAAAAGCAAGAGTTAAAATCAAATTTCAAAAAAAAAAAAAAAAAAAAGGAAATACAGAGATCAGAGTACTTCATGCGACTTTTATTTCTGACGTTTCTTGGTTTATTGGCCTCCCCACCCCCTCCAAAATCTGTTCTGTCCCTGAACACCACTGTCTGTCCATGAGTGCCAGTCACAAAGACTCTTGCTCCCAAGTGCTGCAGACCCAGCATCACATGAGAAACCACATGACAAACTGCAGTCGGCTGCTGATGTGGTCAACTATTTCACCCAGGCAGGGGGAGCAGGAGGGAGACAAACCTCAAGTGAGACATGCCCCTCTCAGGCGGCCAGGAAGACATTTCCTTAAAAGAACAATGAGAAGCATGCCTCTGAAGCTTGCTTGGGAATACATATACACTTTTACATATGCGCACTTACAGAGACTAAAGAGGCCGTGGATACTTGAAGACATTCTGAGGATGCTGTACCACAGACACTAGCTGGATGGCAGCAATATTATTTCTAGTATGTATTAGTCAAAGCTGATTCCACTTAAGTGGATTCCTGAAAAGCACACACCACGTCTTCATAGCATGATCAGGCTTGGAAAACCTATTCTATTATCTCTCCCTGCAATCTGTATCTGAACCTGCATTCTGAATAATTTATTTTTAGACTAATAAGATGCTTGCCAAGACTGCTCCCTTTCTTCGGTAAGCAGCACAGGCAATATTCACCCGAGTAGGAAAGCCTCGTCCCTTTGTAGGGAGAAGAGAAGAGATGGTTTTTTAAAAATGCAATTTCTTATTTAAAGGCAGACAAACACATAGCAATAAAGTTCTCGCAAGTAATCTTAAAAACAAGTGAAATGTTTCTGCTTCATTGAATCGACATGTCTCTTATTTGCAGTTTGGCATCTCATGCTGGCAAATGGTGGTGATATTTTTCTAACACTGCTCATGGCTGCAGCTACAGCCCTTAAGCCACATGGATATTGCTACTTCTCAGCAGGGTGAGAGCAAACAATTGCTTTCTGGAGCACCTTCCTGTGGAGGTGCTGCACTGCCAGGTATGCTTTACTAGTTACATTAAGGCAAGTACAAGTGAGATGGCCTCAGGGTCTGTAGATTCTGTCACTCATCCTGGAATTAAGTAAGTTGCCTATTTGGGACGTCCTTCCCAAGACGTGAGAGGTATACCTTTTTAGCAAAATTGATTATGCCGGCTAACTAGAACCGGAGAATCATTAAACAGGTGGGAGGTAATTGTCTACAACATGTCTTATTGGACTGTGTAGATATCAAGGTAAGTGGCCTTTAATTCATTTGAGATGCCCTTTCAGCCTCTCACTGTATAAGTGTGTCAAGGATGGTCCCAGACCCTGGGGTTCCAATGATGAGCAAGAGATGCATGGTCTCTGCCATCTTGGAGCTCAAGGTCCAGTAACTGCACACATCTTTTGTCCTTCAAGACAACCTTTTCCCAATTTGAATTCTCCAAAGTTAACCAAGGAAGAGATCCAGCAGTCACTTTTTACCCTTGCCTTTTCAACATCCTCTATGATCTCCCAAATCCTATATATTGTTTCTTTACCATCTGCCCTTGGATTTAAGATTTCTTCTCCATTCATTCCTAGAGTCCAAGCTCAGGTTCTCATACCCTCCCACCCAATGATCTCCAATCTGGTCACCCTCTTTTTGTTTCATTCCATTTGGCAGCCTGCCACCAAACTAATCGTACCAAACCACCACATTCATGATGTCCAGAACTACTGTCCAGATGGGTTAGACAACCCTTTGTCCAAAACCAAGGTGGCTCCTTATTTCTTCACGTTCATACACTACCAGTCAAGACAATCTATTATCTGATTATTCATTGTCTATTTAAACAGATTGGTCTATTAATGATCTTCTGATCACATCCTCCATTGAATCAGAAAAAAAAATGGGGGCTCAATTTTGTTAATAACAACGCATAAAGCATTGTGTAAGAAACAAAGACACACGAAGCATTGTCCCTGCCCTCAGAGAACATACTCTATAGAGCCTGTGCTACTTTTTTCTATCAATCATTACTAACCATTTATTATCTTTTATTGCTAGTCATTTCTTCAGGTTTTATTTCCCATGAAAATAATTAGTAAGTCTCAATCCACTTGCTAAGTGTGGGTCAGATAAGTGGTACCACAGATGGGCTGAAAAGGGAACAAACACTTCTACCTAAATGTCTGCGGAGGTTCCCCGAGTTCTCTGGGATTTGCAGTGAGCTATAAAATATCGGGCCAGGGAGTAGGGCAGGATTTAGGTATTAACAACAATAGCAATGGCAGTCGCTAAAAATTAGCACTTACTATGTGCCAGCATCTATTCTAAGCATTTTAGGTACATTAACCTACTTAATTTTATGAGAAAATATTTTTAATAAGTTATTTTCAGTGATACACAGACAGAAGCACAAGAGGGAGGTTAAATAAGTTGCCCAAACTACACAGCAAGTAAGTAGTAAAGCATATCTGGCCCCCGAGTGCGTGGTCTTAACCACCGTGCTGTCCTGCTTTGGAAATGAAAAAAATTGTGGGAGGGAGACCAGGTAGGTGAAAATACATGCATATGTCTGAAGGTGGATGAAGGAATCAAGTAGGGTGTTAGTTCTGTAGAAGCGGGACTAGGTTGAGGAGAGCCACAATATAAAGCTATTACCCTCTTCATAAACATTGGGACCAACAACCAAATTGTAGGATAATAAGTCCGGTAGCCAAATCTAAGATTGATGGGGGAGGAAGGGATTGGGTATAAGGAGACTAATCAAGAGGCTTCTGCAATTGCCTGGCTAAAAGGGAATGGTGCCCAAATCTTGGTAGCGGTGAAAGGAAAATTGAGATGGATTCTGGAGGTGTTATGAAGAAATGACATTATTGCGGTATTCTTGGAAAACAGAGAAGAGGTGATGGTAAAGCTGACTCTACATTTTTTAAAGCTCAGCTGAAGAAAGAACGCAGGTTCCTGAGCTTAGGAGTTGTGTCGTTCATCTTTTTTTCCCCAGTAGCTAGCAAAATGCTTGATATGCCTTTTTAAAGTAATGAATAAATGAAGGTGATGAAGGTAGAAATGGGAACATCAGAAGTGATGACGCCACATATAACAAAAATCTCTACAGTGAATTTAGTAATTCACAGGGTATCTGAGTGGCTTAGGTGGGTTGGCTTCCATCATGCCATTACTTATATATAAACAGAATTTGTTTTCTCTTTCCACCTTTGGCTTGCTTTTCAGATGCTACCTGATTTCCCCCACCACACGCCTCAGATGCTCTTCCTCAGGCTGATCTCAGTCAGGCTGCGTTTCCTCTACCCTGCCCCAGCGACCCCCATCCTTGCCCACCAGCTGTAGACTCATCCTGTCCAGATCTGCCCCCTAATCAGAATGTTGAACTTACCAAGATGATAAGATAAGCGGGCTAACATACTTTAACATTCTTTTATTTTTTTTTTTAATAGCACAGGGAGAAACCACAGACGTTTATCAGCCTTCTCACACAATTTTAGCTAACCAGAATACTAAATTAACGAACGTACCTCATTTCTTGGGCAGTTAATGAAGGTTAATGTGACATACTGCCTCTGGCTCTGGAAGTAAAAAGGGGTGTTACTGCCTCATATTATAGCTGGGGAAAAAAAAGTGTTAATAATCTTTCTCATCAGCAGTAAAGAATTGAGCTTTTAATACCCAGATATATTTTAGTAAAAGGCTAGTATATCATCTGTAAGTGGAGTTCAAGAGCAGTGTTAGATAACTAGGGCATTTCAAGAGCCTGCTTACACCACAGACCAAAAAAAAAAAAAAAAAAAAGAACAAGAGAAAAAAAAAATACAGCCAAAGCTGAATTTATTCCAAGAGAAAAGAAAAATGTGAATTTATGTTGGCAATATTTTCATTTATATCACTTTAGATCAACTCTAATAATCTTTAAATAGTAAGAAGAAAACTTGGATCTCACAAATAAGTGATTTTGAGTAAAGGGGGTAAATGTGTGAGCAAGGTCATTGTTTGATTCAATGATGTTCACACAAATGCATTATGTGGACCTGCTAATCTAAGACAGTGTGGTAGGCATTGTCTAGGGCCCTTAAAGAGCTTACAATACACTTACCCAGGAAGACACTTCCCTTCCTTTTACAGAGGGAAGCTATTGCATTTGATGAGAGCAAAAAATAGCAGGGGAGGCAGGGTAGGTGCAGTGGCTCACTCCTGTAATCCCAGCACTGTGGAAGGCCAAGGTGGGTGGATTGCTTGAGCCCAGGAGTTCGAGACCAGCCTGGGCAACATGGCAAAACCCCATCTCTACCAAAGAAAGTACAAAAATTAGCTGGGTGTTTTGGTGTGCACCTGTAGTACTAGCTACTCAGGAGGCTGAGGTGGGAGAACCACTTACGCCTAGGAGGTAGAGGTTGCAGTGAGCCATGATCATGCCACTGCCATCCAGCCTGGGCAACAGAGCAAGACACTGTCTCAAAAAAAAAAAAAAAAAAAAAGAAGGGTATGCTCTCTTGACAGGGAGCCAACCCACCTTAGAGATCTTACCATAGCAGAAATGGCTTGCATGATGTGAATATTCAGTGAATGTGACTCTTCAATCCTTTAAGTGAATAAGAATGCTATGCTTTATCTGTGCAATCCTGGGAAATATTAATGATGTGCTGATAGTGTCAAGAAAGGCAGGGTCTATAGGTTTATTTAGCAGAGTTGCTAGAGGACTTAAAACTGCATGTCATGGTTTCTAACCTCTTCAAAATGGATGCTGAATTAAGATGAGCCCTTCCCAAAGCAGACTGACAAAGTGACTAATTGCTGGCTGCTGGCAGAGGACTGATTTCCCCTCTCTCTGCTGTCCAGCGTTATTACCCTCGTCCATTTTACAGGGACCAAATGGCAAGTTTAAGGTGGAAGAACTGTGTTTGTTCACCTGTGAGTGGTTTGACCTTAGACTTTGCAGAGCACTGTCAGGAAGTCGGTTTTTCCATGCTCTTTACAGTAAACAAAGACAGTGTGGCTGGGCTCCAAATGTTACAGAAGGTCAGGGACCAAACTGCCTCAAAGACAAAGACTGCTTCCAGAAATTGAAACACAAAATAGATGTGAGCGCCATCAACATTCCACACTGTGCTCCTGTTCATTCTCAGTGTTTGCTTCAAACAATGTGACACATACCCAGCGTAGATGCATAATAGAAATAGAATCATAAAACCCCAGGTGCTGGAAAGCACCTTAAAGGTCATCTGGTCCAACTGCAAATCTAAATTGTGAATGCTGCCCTTTAAAACCTCCTCCATGTAATCATCCAGGCTCAAGGGGAACACCTCTGGTGACTATAAACGCAGTGCCCTGGGAGACAGACAAGCCATTCCATCTTTTGAATGCAACAGCCTCAGTATTTAAAACCCTGAGCTAAGGCCGGGCGCGGTGGCTCATGCCTGAAATCCCAGCACTTTGGGAGGCCAAGACGAGCAGATCACCTGAGGTCAGGAGTTTGAGACCAGCCTGGCCAACATGGTAAAACCCTGTCGCTACTAAAAATACAAAAATTAGCCAGGCGTGCTGGCATGCGCCTGTAATTCCAGCTATTCAAGAGGCCGAGGCATGAGAATCACTTGAACCCAGGAGGCGGAGGTTGCAGTGAGCCAAGATCACGCTACTGCACTCCAGCCTGGGTGACAGAGTGGGACTCTGTCTCAAAAAAAAAAAAAGAAAAGAAAAGAAAAGAAAAACCTCTGAGCCAAAATGTCCTATTCTATGACAGTAGGAGCCTCACTGGAGCTTCTGTTTATTAGCCCTTGATTTGGGAGCTCAATCTAGTGTGACTTCCCCATGATGGTTCCTCAGTTACTGGAGGGCATCTATCATCCCCCATCCAGATTTTCCTTCTCTACACAAAATATCTGCAACTTCTTTAGACATTACTCTGTGACTTCAAGTCTATTCAACATTCAATTTCTGAGCCTAGGAATACATTCCAGTTGATCGGTAGTGCTTTGAATGATGTGTCACACAAAACATAACACAAGGTCCCATCATGTGGCTACACAAAGCAAAATAGTCCTATTACTTCCATCATTCAAACTGATCACATTTCATTTAGTGCAGACTAACCTGCACTTGCTTTCCTAGTGGGTACCTCATGTTGGTGACTCTTACTGGGCTCACCTGTGCCTTTATTCATACAGTTTCACCTAAATCACATTTCTACCATCTTCAGACAATGTCTTTGTGCATTAATTTGACTGGTTTTGTTTTGTTATTGGTTTTGGTTACCACATCTGATCAGATTTTAGGTATATTTTAAAACATTTTTAAGCCAGGCATAGTGGCTCATGTCTGTAAGCCCAGCACTTTGGGAGGCCGGGGGCAGATAACTTGAGCTCAGGAGTTTGACACTAGCCTTAGCAACATGCTGAAACCCCGTCTCTACAAAAACACAAAAATTAGCCAGGCATGGTGGTGTGTGCCTGTGGTCCCAGCTATTCAGGAGGCTGAGGTGGGAGGATCACCTGAGTGTGGGAGGATCACTTGAGCCTGGGAGGCGGAGGTTGCAGAGAGCCATGATTGCACCACTGCACTCCAGGCTAGGTGACAGAGTGAGACCCTGTCTCAAAGAAAAAAAAAAATTGTTTTAAAGGAAAGAAGTAGTAGTAAGTTATTCTTGAAGGAGTCATAGATAAACCTGTAAATACACATATCTATCCATGGTAAGATATGAGACTTATGAGAGCAGAAGTTCTTAGAAGGCATTGAGTACACCTTCTGTTTTTCATCTATCACAACAGCACTGCATAGAATAAAATAACTCTGATTACATAAAATACCCTGGCCTAGTAGGAAAAATACTGGACTAGAAGTCAAAAGCTGTGGGATCTGGTATCTATATTGCTATGGACTATATGTTTATCTGTTATATAATTATAGAAAGGTCATTTTATCTTTTTCCAAGCTATAGTTTCCTTCATTGTAAAGTGAGAATCTCAATACACACCCTGCGCTGTACCGCATTCTAATAGTTTATATTTCTGTGGAATTCTAATGAAATTTGTAAATCTATTCTTTAATACAATGAAATAAATTGTATATTAGCCAGTGGTTAAGCCCCGGCTAAAATTTTCTATAGACTTTCATTAACATTAGATAAGTTTTACATTAAATTTTGTCTTAAGTGAGTGAATGGCATATTCACAAATCAGAAAGTTCTTGTGTCCAGAGTTTTTTTTTTAATATGCCAATTAGGGAAATTAGATAAGTCTGACTGGGGGTCCTGGAATCTTTACCCTCTGATAAAATAACAGTTTTGAATAGGTGAACCAATTACTGAGATTCTTGGGGTAAGGAATAAATGTCATAACGTGATATCATCACTTTCCTATAATCCAAATGTCTTCTTAAAATGTCTTTAATTAACTATACAGAGAGAACCTTTAGGTTGAAAAGATCTAGTTTCTTTCACATTTTTAAACTAGAGCCATGACAACAGAGTGCCTTGATGTCAATCAGCAGTTCCCACAATGGGAATACTATTCACATTCTGGGTGAGGGGGGAGGGAATGATGGCATATGGGCATAACAAGAGAACACCAGCTCATCTTAAAATCTTGCAATACAGTAAAATTAACTCCATGATCAGATTCTAAGACACATCCAACCCTCATAACATTAACTTCACAGAGTACAATAGTTGGTCTTTTTACTAAGTATATTACTAGACTATGCAGTTTTTCTCTTAGATCAAAAGAAATAAAATAAAAATTGGAACAGTGGGCTTCATTTTCTCAAAATCTGGGCCCAGTTTTGGCCCAGCCTTTCTCTGTGCATGTTCCTTCACCATCCTGACCTCAGCGCCATCTTCTGTAAAATAGAAGAGGTCTCTGAGTGTCTAGGCTCTCTGCCCATATGTCAGAAAGGAGGCATGTTTTTTGGCTTTTGAAGATCCCCTGCTTTCAACAAGTAAGCTATCCAAGCAGCGTATGATCCTGGAGATCCACAAGTCATATTGTATCTTAGTTTCTCTCATTCTTAAAAGCTTCATGGCAAAGACCCTAGTGCAACAATATTGTCTCAGTCTCAAATCCCTTTCTGGGCATCAGGCAGAGGGCTCTCAAGCCAAGACCCTGGGCTTCAGTAGCAGTGGGAATGCAGCACTTCAATGAGCCTGAAAAAAAAAGCCACAGCTATATGATGCACACATAGTACAGACATAGTGATGTGGAGATGGACTGGTGCCTTTTGATGTTTGCAAAATATACCTAGGTAGCAAATTGTTACATAATTAAGTGCCCAATGGCATTTGATATGAACAAAAGTTGTAAACATTAGCTTATTGTAACCAATAAAATAGAGATTCTAAAATGCAATTAGCACAAATGACCACATCTCCATTCAAGTAGCAAGGCAGACTTTTAGAGGAAACCTTAAAATAATTAAAGTGGCCACGTTCAGGATGCCAAATGCATACAGATATATCACTGGCTGCTAAAGCAGTAAAGCTTTCTCAGGCAAAGAGGAGGCACGCTTATGCCCAAGGTTAGATTGAGTGTCTTATTGAAGTACAGCACCCCCTCCGCCCCCACTGCATTTGATGGCCTTTTCTGCAGGTTCCTCCAAGATCAGTGCTATAGTATTATGGTGTCTATAGGATGTAGGTATATGGAAGGGAGGAAAAGGACGGCAGAACTGGAAAGAAAAGATGTTCATTTTTTACTCCATTAGACTCAATGCATGCTTTATGTAGAATTCATCCCATAAGGTCAAAAATCTAATTAGGCTTTATTTTAAAAGCTCTGAAACATGCAATAAATCACATGTGATTTTTTTCATATGAGCTGTGACTCAATGATTGAATTTATGTTCATGAAAATAGTTCAGCTTACATTAAACACTGGTTCCTGATACTCCCTTTCCCAAAACACACAAACACACACACACTCACTCACTCACAGTTTATATATAAATAGATATGTGTATGTTTTATTGAGATTATAAAGTTATAAAGTATATCTAACTGTACAAGTATGCAAAATTATACATATAGAAGATAGTATCTGCATAGATAACTTATCTTAATAGAGTTGGCTTAATTTTTGATACTCTGTATTCAAGGACAAAGATTTGTTATTACTGAGGATACTGAAAAGAATCTCTTTTTTCAGAATCTAAGGAAAATTTAAAAATAATTATTCAAATATGTTGATGTAGTGACATAAATGTAGCACCTCTTCATATGACTTCTTTGAAAGGAGAAACTTTTGTTTATACGAGTATACTAAAAAGGCCAAAATGATCTTAATACTTTTAGGTTACTGAGGCTGCAAAAAGACGTATTGATCAGTAAGCGGATTATCAGGTGTAGTTAAATGTAAAGTGTAAAACCCTGGGAAAAGAGTAAATCTACTAATACTGGACAATTAGTACTACATGTTAGGTACTGCTCTGAGCACTTCGCATTTACTGAGTTAGGCACTATTTCAATCTCCATTTTATAGATGAGAAAAGTGCAGCAACAGAGAAGTTCAATAACCACGAAGGCCACACAGCTAACACATGGGAGAGCCAGGCTGCATATTCAGGTAGTGAGGCTCCACAATTCTTGCCCCAGAGTCCATTACTCTGCCTTGTATCTCTTCCTTCTTTTTCTCTTCTCCCACCTGACCCCTAACACCCAAAACCATATCAAAGGCAGATCCCTCTCTTGAATCTGCTCAGGCCTCATAGTTAGTGTCCATGATACAGAACCAGGCTTTCTAAAGGAGTTTTAGAAACATTTTATCTAATTGTTATAACAACTCTGCCAGTGTGCTGTTATTCTCCTTTGACAGATGAAGAAACTGAAACCCACAGAGATGAAGTAACATCCTCAAGATCAAAAGGTAACAAACGATTGAGGCAGGATTTGGATATTGCTCTACATGACGGGAAAGCCTGTGCTCTTGGAATTACAGTCATAGTACAACAGATCAAGTTCAAAGCATCATCTAAGTCAAGGAAAACCAGTAAAGAGGTTTGGAGAGACAAACAGGGTCAACTCCAGGCATTTGGGTCAGCAGAAACGGCACGATTGAGCAGCACTGTGACTATAGGATCATGGATCAGAGGCTGCTTCCTCTTTGGTTCTGGGCATCAGCCTCATGTCCACTCAAAGTAAGTGGCCCCTCTGATTGGAATCGGAGGTGCCTGGGTCATCTCACAGAGCCAAACAAATACAATTAGCTATTGCAAAGCCTTTTGGGAATTATTCCCAGTGTAAATAAACACATAACCATATAGCAAGAGCCTTGATAAAGTCCAAAAACATGCAAACTTGGAGTATCTAAGAGAAAAGACCACAATGTAAATGAAAAACCAAATAAACTCGGGCAAACCATAGGATAGGGCCCTGTCTGTGATGGCCTGCATATGATGAGCCATAGAAAAAGGATGGTGAATTCTGGATAATAAGAAATGTCAATGAGATGCAAGAACCACCTGTTTTATGTAAAGCTCCAAATAACCAGATCACAGTGGACAGCCACTCAAATAATGCCTTCATAATACAGAGTATTATTGAGAATAACTCAGTTCACAGAGAGCTTAAGGCAGCCAATATTTGATAGCCTGTCAGAAAAAAACAGAACAGTAATTATAGAAAAGAATCATATCCTCGGAAAAACAAAAATTAATCAAACTAAGTTTGTAAAGTCTATCTTACAGACACATTGTCTGGACTGGTCCTCTCAAAAATACTGTTTTTTTTTAATGCCAATTTGTTTAGTTAATGATTTTTGTCTTATTACTTCAAAACTGGAAATATCCTATGACTCATAATATCTTACAACCTTTCTACTTTCTTAAAGAATCTCAAGTTTATAATCACAGGGGATCGGATTATTTTTCAAAAATTAAATGGTGATGTAATGATTTCTGTGTCTATTGTAGAAAAGTCAACCTTATTACAGCTGCAACAATGGCATTAAGAAATATGAGTAATTCCAATCAACTTGAGATAATGTCTAATCAAACACAAATACAACTGGTAAATTTCATTAAATAGCATGGAGATTAAATTAAAACACTATTATGTAATAAAAACCTTTAGTGGTACTAAAATTTTAGAATAGTTCAGATATACAGAAAAATTTCAAAGATACACAGAGTTCCCATTTTTTTCCTATTACTAACCTCTCATATTTGTCACAACTAATGAATATTCAATAGAGTATTATTAACTAAAGCCTATACATTTATTTAGATTTCCTTAGTTTTTAGCTAACATTCTTTTTCTTTGTTCCAGGATCCCATCCGGGCCACCACATTGAATTTATTTGTCATTTTAGGTACCTCTTGGCTGTGAGTTTCTTAGACTTTCCTTGTTTTTGGTGACCCTGACAGTTTGAGGGAGTACTAGTCAGTCAGTTATTTTTGCAGAATGCCCTAAATTTGAGTTTGGCTGATGTTTTTCTTAGGGTTTGACTGGGGTTATGGGTTTTGGGGAGGAAGACCACAGAGGTGAAGTACCATTCTCACCAAATTATATTAAAGGTACATACCATCAGCATGCCTTATACTATTGATGTGAACTTTGATTGCCTGGCTGTGGTAGTGTTTGTCATGTTTCTTCACTGTAAAGTTACTCTTCTCATCACCCACTTTTCTGTACTGTACTCTTTGGAAGAAAGTCACTATATGCATCCCAAATTTAAGGAGTGGGAAGTTATGCTCCACCCATTTGTAAGCAGAAAATCTACATAATTTGTTTGGCATTCTTCTGCATAGGAAAATCATCTCACTCTCCCAGTTATTTATTTATTTGATCTTTTTTTATATCAGTATGGACTCATGGGTATTTCTTTTATACTTTGGGTTATAATCCAATACTAACACAATAAAGAAATTTTTAATGGAGATGCATTCAAATTCGTTGCTAAAATGGGCCTGACACCTCTTGACCTTGGCTAAACAGAGATTCTGGATGGAGCAAAGCACTGTGACGTCATGTGGACTTTGAAGGTTAAGAAACTACGGATCATCAGGACATATTTGCTCTTCCATCTCACAGAGAAAATGGGGATATACCTCCTCATTCCAGGAAACTTTCTTCCTATATTTCTAATATATCCAGGATAAAATTCAATATATATAGTCAGTAGCTTCAAAGTTAAGCATAATTTGTTTACTAGAATTCTTAAGGCAGATGTTGGATCATTAACTCATTCTCTTAGAAATAACTTTGGTGCTTATAAGTAGGCATCACATAATCTGATACACTGATATTATATATATAATCGTGAAAAACATATCAGATTATATGATATCACATAATCTGATATATGTGATATATAATCAGATTATGTGGTATCATATAATCTGATATATAAATGTTTTTCATAATTATACATATATTTCAAGTATAATTGTGAAAAACATTTGCCAGTTTAAAGTTTAATATGTAGACAGAATAATGCCTGGAGGTATAGGGATATAATTGGGAATTAGAGTAATAAAATAAATATTTTAAGTACTTACTACATATTACTCATTAACACAAAAGTAACTTTACGTATAAAATGCATGACAAGACTCCATTATAAAGAAGTGTCTGAAAGCTATAGGGCAGAAAGGTATAGAACACAGTATAGACTAGAAGGAGATAAAGACAATCAGAAGATTTTATTCATTCATTTATTCAACAAAAATTTACAGAGTACCTCCAATTATCAGCAGCTGTGCTGAAGATTAGGTATATTACCTACACAGTTACAAATTTTGCTTTCATGTAGTCTGCAGGAAGAGAGACATTAATCAAAGAATGGCACTATTGACACTTGTGCAGGAAAGGGTTACGTCAACAGGCCTGGGCTGCTCAAACCTTGCGTATTCCCAGAGTCTCAAGACTGGTCTTGGCCTGGCTCCTGGGAAGATTACTTCTGAGCCCTTGGCTGAGATAGGAGTTTATGCCAACAGTGTGATTTATGGCAAACACCTGTTTTTGTATGCCTGAGGCTTTGGATCATGCTGTACCAATTTGATCTGAGGCCTGAAGACTGGTAGCTAAGGTGCTGCATGCCTACATGACTGACCTCCAGTAAAAACCCTGGACACATGCCTCAAGTGAGTTTCGTTGGTTGGCAACACTTTACATATGTTGTCACACGTTGTTGCTGAGAAAATTAAGTGTACTCCATGTAATGGCACTGGGAGAGGACAACTGGAAGCTGGTGCTTAATTTCTCCTCTACTCCACGCTATCCACCTTTTCACTTCGCTGAGTTTTTTCTGTATCCTTTCAATGTAATAAACTTTAACCATGAGTATAACAGCTTTTTTGGGTCCTGTGAGTCTTTCCAGCAAATCACTGAGCCTGAGAATTATCTTGGGGATCCCCAACACAATACTACAATTAAAAAATGAGGTACATATTCTAAAGAAGAAGAATATAGTTTGTGGGAGTTTATAACATAGTAACCTGAAGTAGACTAGGAGGTCAAGAAAGTCTTCCCCGAAAAAGAGAGGTTTGAGCTGTGATAATGGATGCATAAGACATTGCTTATAAAGGTGGAGAGAGCTTTCCAGCATGATGAATTGCATGTACAAATCCTCTGGTCAGGGAGAGTAAAGTGTGTGTGAGCAGCTGAAAGTGACATGCACAGCTGGAGTGGAGAGAACAGCAGGAGGTGGGATGGGAGATGTGTGGGACAGTCCTCAGAGGCTGGGCTTGGCAAACCATGTGAAGGATTTTGGTCATTATCCTGAGAGTCACGGGAAGCCATGGAAAGGCTGGAAGCAAAGGGGGGCTCAGGGTGGTCTTCTGAAATAAGCATTCTGGCAATGGGGGTTGGGGGGAGAACTTATAGGGGGTGATGAGTCGACAGAATGAAAACAAGGCAATCTCTTTTTATAGAACTCAGAAGAGAGATGATGGTATCTCTGGCTATTGTGCTGGCAGAGGGAATGTTGAGAAATGGAAGCTTTTCATAGAAATTTAGTGGGCCAAATTACTTTGCTGGCTTGTGCAAATGACAGAATGGTTGGACCACTCATTGAAGCAGGACACACTAGGAGAGACCAGGTTTATTTTTGTCAGGATGAAGCACAAGAATGACATACATTTGGTCTTGGATACACTGAGTTTGATGTGCCTTTAGAGTTGAATATGGAGATAGTTATAGGCCACTGAATACATAGGTATGGACTGATGTCATTCAGGTTTCATCCACAAATTGTAACTACAGCTATCGACTCAAGGGGCAACTATCATTTGCCTGGCATTACTTTAAGTACTTTCCATATATGAACTCATTATATCCTCACAATTATTAAATGAGCAGATCCTATAACTAGCCTATGTCATTCTCATAGCAAGCCAAGGAAGGGCGTTGAAACCAACTTTGGAGACGGTAGGGGGTAAAAAAGAAGAGGGATTTTGACGTTGCCAGTATTAGTAACTGATTCCTGGCAGACAAGACTGAGAGTATATCACCAGACCTGAAGGAGGAGGAGGCTGGGCTATCCTGGAAGCCAAGGGAAGTTGGTGCTCCAGAAGAAGACAGTTTTTATTTAATGCTGTTAAGTTTACTAAGAAGAGGACTATGGGATGGACAACAGTCAGTCATTGCAAGTAAAAGTTGTTTTGATGAAGCTGGAAGCTAAATTAGAGAAGGGTGCATGGAAGGCAAGAAAGTGAAGACAGGGAAGTGCTTTCAGCACATCTCGCTATAAAGAGTAGGAAAGAAAGCAATACCTGCAGGGAGCTAAAGGAGTCAGGGAGGAGCTGTTTGTTTACAGGTGAGATGGGAGAGCTGTATTCAAGTCTGAAAGTCAATGGAAAGGATTCATTTGAGAGGGAATAGTTGAGTACACATGAGAGAAGTACATCGATTGCAGTGAGCTGAGATCGCACCATTGCATTCCAGCCTGGGCGACAAGAACAAAACTCCGTCTCAAAAAAAAAAAAAAAAAAAAAAAGGAGTACGTTGATAGTGTAAGCTTCTTCAGCAGTCCAGAGTGAGAGAGATGGGATGTAAATATGGTCAAACATATTTGGGCAGAGCCAGTCAGTGAAATGATACTCTTCATAACACATGTCACAGAAACCAGTAATAGATCCAAGCCCTGCCTATGCTCCACTCTGCTCTCATACCCATTGGTTTCCTTATTTCTCTTTGGCTATCCCTGCCTTCCTTCATGACTCCATATGCCACGTTCCTCTCACTTCGGACACATCGCACTTGCTGTTTTTCTCAGCTAAGAATGTTTTTCACTCCATCCAATGCCCCACCTCTTCAACCAGTTTCTAGCCTGATGAAGATGTTCAATAAACAGTCATTGGTTGAACAACTTGTGTTCAAAACATTTACTGAAACAAACCTGTATTAGTCCGTTTTTACACTGCTATAAAGAGCTACCCAAGCCTAAGTAATTTATAAAGGAAAGAGGTTTAATTGACTCACAGTTCAGCATGGCTGGGGAGGTCTCAGGAAATTTACAATCATGATGGAAGGCAAAGGGGAAGCAGGTATCTTCTTCACAAGGTGGCAGGAAGGAGAAGTGCCAAGTGAAGGTGGAAGAGCCCCTTATAAAACCATCAGATCTCGTGAGAACTCACTCACTATCAGTATGCTTCAATTACTTCCACTTGGTCTGTCCCTTGATACGCGGGGATTATGGGGATTACAATTCAAGATGAGATTTGGATAGGGACACGAAGCCTAACCATATCAAAACCCAATCTGAAACTCAATCCGATTTTGGATATTTGCTTCTGATTTTGGTCACCAATAAGTATTTTTATCAATATAAATTTGAATCATAATTAAAGAAGGCATTGTAGTCTAATATTTAGTTATACTTTTATATCCATGATCATATTCATCCCTCCTACAAATATAAAAACATATGCATATGCCATTTTATTATTTTATACAAAAGAGTATTTTTAAGCAGACACACACCTGTCAATTAATTCTCTCCTACTAAGCAAACAACACGGAAAGAAATTCTAATCAGAATGTCAATCTATTAATTTACAATGAGATGTACAACTGTCAATTCAACCAGATATTTTTGTTAATCTGACCAATGCATATTTTTACCCTGGCCAAGCCAGCCACAGATTGGTAAACCTTACATTAAAAAATGTAGGTAGGCCCATATCTCTCACCATATACAACAATAAACTCAGGATGAATTAAAAACTTAAATGTAATACTTGAAACTGTAAAAATACCAGAAGAAAACCTAGAGAAAACTCTTCTGGACACTGGTCTAAGAAAATAATTCATGACTAAGACCTCAAAAACACAAGCCACAAAAAACAAAAATAAAAAACTGAGACGTAATGAAATAAAAAGGTTTCTGCACAGCAAAGGAAATAATCAACAGAGCAAACAGACAACCTGCAGAATGAGAGAAAATATTCACAAACTATGCATCTGACAGAAAACTAATATCCGGAATTTACAAGGAATGCAAACAACTCAACAACAACAAAAACAACCCCATTAACAAGTGGGCAAAGGACATGAATAGATATTTTTTAAAAGAAGACATACAAATGGTAAACCCGCATATGAAAAAAAATGCCCCAAATCACTAATCATCAGAGAAATGCAAATTAAAACCACAATGATATTATCTTACATTAGTCAGAATGGCTATTAGTAAAAAGTCAAAAAACAACAGATGTTGGCGAAGATGGGAAGAAAAGGGAACTCTTATACACTAGTAAAACCTCTGTGGAAAACAGTATGGAGATTTCTCAAAGAACTAAAGATAGAACTACCACTCAGGTCAGCAATCCCACTACCATGTGTCTGCCCAGAGGAAAAGAAATTGTGTCAAAAAGATACCTGCACTCTTATATTTATCACAGCACTATTCCCAATAGCAACGATATGGGATCAACCTATGTGTTCATCAACACTGGACAAAGAAAATATGGTATATATACATAATTGAATACTATTCAGCCATAAAACAAGAATAAAATCATGTATTGGAGCAACATGGATGGACGGAGAGGCCATTATCTTAAGTGAAACAACTCCAAAACAGAAAGTCAGATACCGCATGTTCCCGCTTGTAAGGGGAAGATGAAAAAAAAAAAAAAAGATAGACATTAGAGACTAGAAAGCGGGGTGCAGAAGGAGAGTGGGTGATGAAAAATAACTTAGTGGGTAGAATGTAAATTATTCAGATGATGGCTACCCTAAAAGCCAAGACTTCACCATGCAATAAATGCACATAACAAAATTCCACTTGTACCCCTTAAGTTTACACAAGTAAATATAATTTTAAAATAAAAATACATTTTTAAAATGTAGGTGGGAACGGAAGACAGAGCAATGGCTTCCAGGTACTTAGAGTAGGAATATAGGGATTGTTTTCAAAGTGGCAGGAGAGATTTGATTATCTTGATGGCTGTATGACTCTATGTGTTAAGTGGGTACTTCAAGGAGTATAAGAAGTTTATTTTACTTATAGCAAATAGTCTTGGTACAAGAAAATTATATAGCACAGTTAGTGAGACTGTAGTCTTTGGAACCCTAAAACCTTGGTTCAAATCCCAGCTTTATAACTGAATTACTTGGTAATAAGAAATTTATTAGAACGAATCCCTGACAGTTCAAAACACAACAGTAGATTCTAAAAAATTGAGGAGGAGGGAATCCTCCTCCCTAACACATTCAATGAGGCCAGTGTCATTCTGATACTAAAACCTGGTAGAAACACAACAAAAAAAAGAAACTTCAGGTCAATATCCCTGATTAACATGGATGCAGAAATTCTCAACAAAATGCTCGCATACTAAATCCAGCACCACATCAAAATGCTAATCCACCACAATCAAGTAGGTATTCCTGGGAGGCATGGTTGCTTCAACATATGCAAACCAATCAATGTGATTTATCACATAAATAGAATTTAAAACCACATGATCATCTCAATAGATGCAGGGAAGTCTTTTGGTAAAATACAATATCTCTTCATGTTAAAAACCCTCAGCAAACTAGGCATTGAAGGAACATACCTCAAAATAATAAGAGCCATATATGACAAACCACAGCCAACATCATACTGAATGGGCAAAGGCTGGAAGCATTCCTCTTAAGAATCAGAACAAGACAAGGATGCCCACTCTCACCACTCCTCTTCAACATGGTACTGGAAGTCGTAGCCAGAGCAATCAGGCAAGAGAAAGAAACAGAAGGCATCCAAATAGGAAGAGAGGCAATCAAACTATCTCTCTTCACAGATGATATGATTTTATACCTAGGAAACGCCACAGTCCCTGCCAAAAAGCTCATTGATTCCTTGATCTAATAAATCAGCAAAGTTTCAGGGTACAAAATCAATGTACAAAATCAGAAGCATTTCAATACATCAACATCAACAATGTCCAAGTCAAATCGAGAATGCAATGTCATTCACAATATCCATTAAGAAAAAAAGAAAAAAAAAAACCTAGGAATACAGCTAACCAAGGAGGTGAAAAATCTCTACAGCAAGAATTATAAAATGCTGCTGAAAGAAATCAGAGATGATAGAAGCAAATGGAAAACATTCCATGATCAAGAATAGAATCAATATTATTAAAATGGCCATATTGCCCAAAGCAATTTACAGATTCTACACTATTCCTATCAAACTATCAACAACATTTTTCAAAGAAATAGAAAAAAAAACTATTCTAAAAGTTATGCAGAACCAAAAAAGAGGCTGAATAGCCAAAGCAATCCTAAGCAAAAAGAACAAAGCCAGAGGCATTATACTATCCAACTTCAAACTATACTATACACTACAATAACCAAAACAGCATGGTATTTGTAAAACAAACAAACAAAAAAAACCAGACACATAGACCAATGGAACAGGTCAGAGAACCCAAAAATAAAGCTGCACACTTACAACCATCTAATCTTTAACAAAGCTGACAAAAACAAGCAATGGGGAAAGGACTCTATTCAAAAAATGGTGCTGGGATAATTGGCTAGCCATATGCAGAAGATTGAAACTAGACCCCTTCCTTACACTATGTACAAAAATCAACTCAAGATGGATTAAAGACTTAAATGTAAAACCTAAAACTATAAAAACCCTAGAAAAAGATAAAGGAAATACATTCAGGACATAGGCCATGACAAAGATTTCATTTTAAAGACTCCAAAAGCAATTGTGACAAAAACAAAAATTGACAAACAGGACCTAATTCTACACAACAAAATAAATTATCAAGAGAGTAAACAGACTACCTACAGAATGAGAGAAAATATTTGCAAGCCATGCACCCAACAAAGATCTAACATCCTGGATCTATAAGGAATGTAAACAAATTAACAAGCAAAAAACAATACCATTAAAAAATGGGCAAAGGACATGAACAGGCACTTATCAAAAGAAGACATACACGCAACCAACAAACATATGGAAAAATGCTCAACATCACTAAACATTATAGAAAAGTAAATCAAAACCACAAGATACTGTCTCACACCAATCAGAATGGCTATTTTTAAAAAGGCAAAAAATAACAGATGCTGGTGAGGTTGCAGAGGAAAAAGAGCACTTATACACTGCTGGTGGGAATGTAAATTAGTTCAGCCATTGTGGAAAGCAGTTTGAAGATTTCTCAAAGAACTTAAAACAGAACTACCATTTGACCCAGCAATCCCATTACTGGGTATATACCCAAAGGAACATAACATGTTCTACCATGAAGACACATGCACACATACGTTCACTGCAGGAATGTTCACAAAAGCAAAGACACGGAATCAACCTAAATGCCCATCAACAGTGGACTGGATAAAGAAAATGCAGTACATATACACCATGGCATACTATGCAACCATAAAAATAATGAAATCATGTCCTTTGCAGCAACATGGATACAGCTGGAGGCCATTACCCTAGGCAAATTAATGCAGGAAAAGAAAACTAAATACCACATGTTCTCACTTAGATGTGGGAGCTAAATAGTGAGTACACATGGACACAAAGAGGGGAACAATAGACACCAGGGCCTATTTGAGGGTGGAGCGTGAGGATCGAAAAACCACCTTTGGGTACTATGGTTATTAACTGGGTGACAAAATAATCTGTACACCAAACTCCAGTGACCGTAATTCACCCATGTAACAAACCTGCACATGGATCCCTGAACCTAAAACAAAAGTTGGAAAGAAAAAAATGCAACAGTAGGTCAAAAGTCCTTTTAAGAAGTTATGAGAATAGTGCAGATAAAGTTTTTAGCATATGCCTGGCACAATAGATGCTAAATTTATCAGTAGTTTTGCTGGTAAGGTTCAAGTCTTTTATTCAAGACTTCCTCTCCACCAGACTTTGCTTACATGAACATCAACAGTATTTGCCTTTGTGACTTTCCTTTTCTACATTTTCTTAGTTGCTAACCTGGTTATATTTGTATAGCCCTTTTCAAAACAGGATACAATACTCCGATAATGTTTCTGATTAGCAAATGATAACCACTTTCCAGTCCTGCCTCTCAGATTTTTCCCAGAGTCCACCTTGATTAGCATCTATGGGTTCTGTAATCTCTTGAGTCTCTATTTATAGAAAATTTTGAGTTAACAATTACTCATGATAAATCACTTTGTGCAGATTTATGCAAGTTGACTCTTAACAGGCCAATCTAATGTCTATGGTAGTAAGGTATACGTTCTCATCATGCCCACAGACTAACAACATTGTTTAAATGCCTTCAGAGAGCTAATGCCGGTGGTAGAACCTTTAGACTCATCTATAGAAATCAAGACCCAAAAGAAAATATCCTGCAAAGATATTGCTTAAAGCAGCAAGCTTCAATCTGATAAGATTGCTATTGCTAAATCAGGATTGAACAGGGGCAGAAAAGTGGATAATTAATGTATATAGGGCCCATTCTGGGATGCACCAAGCAGATGTGATGTTCTATCTATAATCTAATTGGTAGCATCACAAAGGCAGAAAGGATAAGATACAGAAAGTTCACATGAGATCTTGAATAAAAACCTAGGAGGTACTAAAAGTCATCAAAAAAATCAGAGTGAAACAGGAGTAACAGTAATTTGGACCCAGAGGACATGTACAATTTTCAGGACAGTAGCAGGGGCCCTAATCAATCTGCCTTATAATGAAGCAATGTTAAAAGGAGTGTGCCCATCAGTTCATGTTCCCCAACCTCTTAAATGTGCCACTCAGCCTTTGCAATGGAGAGGATTAATGAATGATCATAAAACATACTTTCAGTTGTGGTGTGTGATATTTGATAATCAAGGATATGCAGAAGTTCATGGACAAAGTCAGGTATCTCGAGACATTCCTATACTCTAACATACTCCAGGAGACAACAGTTCAAGCTTTCAAAATTCCTTCCAGAAAAAAGAAAAAAAAAATCCAGTGCATTTTATCACATTTATAAAACTAGGCTCCATTCTTGTACACAAGAAAATACATATGAGGTGGCCACAACTAACATGAATCAAATCAGTCTGAGACTAATGCATAGACTCATGCCAAGACATGACAAGGTAAGGAGGCAGAATTTGGATTCAGAGGTTTTGTAACACGACTCTTTGTAGGCTGAAGGGAAGTTTGAAGAAAAAGTTCCAGGTAAGGCCAGTGCAGTGGCTCATGCCTGTAATCTCAGCACTTTGGGAGCCTGAGGCTGAGGCAGGTGAATCACTTGAGTCCAGGAGTTCAAGACCAGCCTGGGCAACATAGTGAAACCCTGTCTCAACGACAACAACAAAAAATTAACCAGGCATGGTGGCACATGCCTATAGTTCCAGCTACCCAGGAGGCTGAGGTGGGAGGATCACCTGAGCCAAGGAGGTCAAGGCTGCAGTAAGATGTGATTGCACCATTGCACTCCAGCCTGGGTGACAGAGCAGGACCCTGTCTCAAAAACAAAAACAAAAACAAAACAAAAGTGCCAGGTAAAAGAGAATGGCTTTGATTCAAATTCTGTCTATTCAAACCCAAATATTAAAGCATTTAAAAGGGAAAAGAAGTCTTTTTGTTTGTTTGTTTGTTTTGATATGGAATCTCGCTCTGTCGCCCAGGCTGGAGTGCAGTGGTGTGATCTCGGCTCACTACAACCTCTGTCTCCTGGTTGCAAGCAATTCTCCTACCTCAGCATCCCCGGTAGCCGGTATTACAGGCGGCCGCCACAACACCCAGCTAATTTTTGCATTTTTAGTAGAGATGGGGTTTCACCACGTTGGCCAGGCTGGTCTTGAACTCCTGACCTCAGGTGATCCGCCCACCTCGGCCTCCCAAAGTGCTGGGATTACAGGCGTGAGCCACCGCGCCTGGCCAAAGAAGTGTTTAGGTATTCAGAAAAGATACCAACAGCAACAACAAAAACCAGAATGTCCATCACCTAATTAATCTACCTAACAGCCAAATAATTAATTCCTTTCATATGTTAAGAAGTGTCAGAAAGAAAATTAACTCTTTCTATACCTACTCCTTTTACAAAAATCTTTGTTTCCTTTTTAAATTTTTCATAAAAATATGAATAAGAATCTCTGTGTTATTTTTCTCTACATAAGATGAAGAGAGCCGCTGGGTGCGGTGGCTCATGCCTGTAATCCCAGCACTTTGGGAGGCCAAGGCAGGTGGATCACTTGAGGCCAGGAGTTCAAGACCAGCCTGGCCAACATGGTGAAACCCCATCTCTACTAAAATTACAAAGAAAAAAAAAAAATTAGCCGGGCGCAGTGGTGGATGCCTGTAGTCCCAGCTACTTGGGAGGCTGAGGCAGGAGAAGCGCTTGAACCCAGGAGGCAGAGGTTGCAGTGAGCTGAGATCACACCACTGCACTCCAGCCTGGGCGACAGAGCAAGACTCCACCTCAGGAAAAAAAAAAAAAAATGATACAGAGAGCAGAAGGAAAGATGGAAGAGGGCTCAATGGATCAGAAGGTATTGTACTCTAACTTTGTACTGTATCTAGAAACTATTTACCAGGTTGACTTAAGGATAAAGTACTAATACAGATGATTAAGCACTACATTTTTTTCTAGAATAAATTTGCTGTAACTTTTAATGATATCACACTTAATGGTTCTCTGACAAAAACTCCATGGAAAGTAATTTAACTTCTCTGTGACCTAGTTTCCTCATTAGCAAAAAATGTTACTAAGATAGTGATAGGTGAAAAAATGTATTTCCCTAGGATACATCTTGTTAATAAATTACCTTAACAAATCTAACAAACTCTCAGAAAAGAGAAAAATATCCATCACTTTTATTAATATGTGACACTGTGAAATTTAAGGCACAGAGATATCAGTTGCTTTGGTCTGATGTTGCCTTAACCATGGGCAAGAAGGAGAATAAGAACCATGGAAGGGGGGAGTGGGAGAGATCTCTCCTTGCACAAAGTTGCTCAAAAGTCGCAAAATACCAAATTACCACTGAAGTCACACATCAACTATCCCAGAGCTGTTGTCAACATACTCAAGATTTACCTTCTCTTTAAAAAGTGTATCACAGAAAATATATTATATGCTTATATATGCTGTTTGTTTTGTTTCATAAAATAGATCCAGGACTTTCTGCTAGATCATGCCACTGCACTCCAGCCTGGGAGTGATATATATATATACACACACACACACACACACACACACACACATATATATATACACATATATATACACATATATACATACATACACACACATATATACACACATATATACATATATACACATATATATACATATATACACACGCATATACATATATACACACACATATATACACATATATACATATATACACATATATGCATATACATACACATATATATACACACATATATACATATATACACATATACACACATATATATACATACATATACACATATATTACATGTATAACAATATACATTACATATGATGCACATTTATGTAGACTACACTATGCGGAGAATTTCAGGGATGGCAACTGCTGTTTTAACCACAGCTGTTGGAGTCTCACTCAGAAAGCAAATCTGAAAAAGTTGATGTGTTTGTTTGATCCAAAAAATGATCTAAAATGCCATTTATATCTAAATAAATGTCCAATTGAAGTTCAGAGTGTGTGATCTGTCAACATGCACTTCTTGAAGTGCTAAGGAGACTCAGATAACAAAAATTTGCTGCAAATTCCCTGGCCTCTCATATTGTTGGAGAGAGAGATAGGAACAAAGTGAGGATATTGAATAGTTGTCAATGCAACAACAGAGTTATGGACAAGAGGGAAGCCATGCTGAACGCTGGCTGGGACCAGGGTAATGGCTCTGCTGGACTGTGGGAGATAAATAGGAAACATCTATGTAGATTCAAGACAAGAGGGGTTCCTTTCAGGGAGAGAAAACCGCAGCATAACACATCTGGCGAAATGTGAAGGAAACCAAAATATTTCACCCCAAAACATACTTCTTTGACATATTTCAAGATGGCTATTCAGAAGGGCTAGAAATATAAGAACAGCCGAAAAGCTGTCTTCTGTAGGGGAGATTTACATCTGCAGAGAAAATTGGCAGGGATGCATCCATGCTTTTTCTCTGAGCCTCTCCCTTGTGCAGAGTTAGGAAACATGACCTGAGAGTCTGACACCTTATAAGTCTAAAGAAACATTTACCATCTATTCTCTCTGAGGGCTGCTACCTGTGAGGTTTCATCTACATAAGAAGACCACCCTTGCTAGCCAGGCCTGCTCTTCTTGCCCTCTCATAACCTGTTTTGCTGTAATCAAAGTTTTCATTCTTTCTGTAACCTCAAGATGGTATGAAAGTGTCAACCAGGCTAGGCGCAGTGGCTCACTCCTGTAATGCCAGCACTTTGGGAGGCCGAGGCGGGTGGAGCATGAGGTCAGGAGTTCCAGACCAGCCTGGCCAACATAGCAAAACCCTGTCTCTACTAAAAATACAAAAAATTAGCTGGACGTGGTGATGGGTGCCTGTAATCCCAGCTACTCAGGAGGCTGAGGCAGGAGAATTGCTTGAACCTGGGAGGTGGAGGCTGCAGTGAGCCGAGATCGTGCCATTGCACTCCAGCCCGGGCAACAGTGTGAGACTCCATCTCAAAAAAAAATAAAAGAAAAAAAAGAAAAGACAGTGTAGGCCGGGCGCGGTGGCTCACGCCTGTAATCCCAGCACTTTGGGAGGCCGAGGCGGGAGGATCACGAGGACAGGAGATCGAGACCATCCTGGCTAACACGGTGAAACCCCACCTCTACTAAAAATACAAAAAATTAGCTGGGCGTGGTGGCGGGCGCCTGTAGTCCCAGCTACTGGGGAGGCTGAGGCAGGAGAATGGCGTGAACCCGGGAGGTGGAGCTTGCAGTGAGCCCAGATCGCGCCACTGCACTCCAGCCTGGGTGACAGCGAGACTCCGTCTCAAAAAAAAAAAAAAAAAAAAAAAAAAAAAAAGACAGTGTCAACCAGTACAGGCACAGTGGTTCATGCCTGTAATCCCAGCACATTGGGAGACCAAGGCAGGAAGACTGCTTGAGCCCAGGAGTTTGAGACCAGCATGGGCAACCTAGTGAGGCCCTGTCTCTACAAATTATTTATTTATATATATATATATATATATACACACACACACACACACACACACACACACACACACACACATATATTTAGTCAGAGTCTCACTCTGTTGCCCAGACTGGAGTTCAGTGGCGCAATCTCAGCTCACTGGAACCTTCGCCTTCTGGGTTCAAGTGATCCTCCCACCTCAGCCTCCCAAATACCTGGGGACCACAGGCACATGCCGCCATGCCCAGCTACCTTTTTTGTATTTTTAGTAGTAACGGGGTTTCACTATGTTGGCCAGGCTGGTCTCGAACTCCCAACCTCAAGTGATCTGCCCACCTCGGCCTCCCAAAGTGCTGGGATTATAGCTGTAAGCCACCGTTCCTGGCCCAAATAATAATTTTTTAAAAACTATTTGGGTGTAGTCATGTGAGCCTGTGGTGCCAGCTACTCAGGAGGCTGAGGTAGGAGGTTCACCTGAGTCCAGAAGGTCAAGACCGCAGGGAGCCAAGATAGCACCACTGCACTCCAGCCGAGGTAACAGAGGGAGACCCTATCTAAAAAAAAAAAAAAGAAAAAGAAAAAGAAAAAGAAAAAGAAAAAGAAAAAAAAAAGGTCAACCATCTGGCCATTTCTTTGAGTTCTTATATTTTGTTAAGACTCCAGTGCATGTTAATAAACGTGTATGCCTCTTCTCCTATTAATCTGTCTTTTGTCAGTTGATTTTTAAGCAAACCTTTAAAGGGTGAAGGGGGAGTTTTCTCTTGGCTAATTGCAAAGGGTTCAAAGTGTTCATAAGTTGAGGAAGAGTGATATAAGTAAGGAGAATTATATTGAAGACTTTTATAATTCAAGTGATTTCTCACCTGGAACCTGACCTGTAGAGGAGGAGGGAAAGAATGTACTGAAGAATAGTAAGTGAGGGAAAATCCTAGGAGCAGGCTTTTTAATTTTAGGATACATCAAAAGATATTTCTGGAGATATTGTGCAGATTGGACCAGGATGGTAAGAAATAGGTGACAGGGAATCTAACTAAGACAAAACCATGACAGACTAATTATATTTCTGAATCATAATGGAAAGAATTTGGCATAAAACTGAGTGTGGAAACAGAACACACTGGAAGATTCTTTAAGAACTTAGGTCAACAGCAATGTGTCAGCCTGAGATAGAATACAGCACAAACGCAGGTGAGAGTTTGGAGCAGGACACCATGGAAGAGGATGCCACCATTCAAAGAATGAGGTTTCAGCTGTAGCTTGGTCTTTGGCACCTGTTGAGAATCACATGAAAGCTACAAACCCTTTTCTCAGAAAAATGTAGGTACCCACACCATATATGTTAGCATATGATTTTAGGGCATTCACAGTTCACCTTTGAAGCCTCTTGTTTTAAGAACCTCCTCACACAGAGTAAGTAAAGAAGAATACTAAAGTTGAAACCCTGAGGGACATTGTCACCAAAAGGGTTAGCAAAAAAAGGACAACTCAGCCTAAGAAATTGAGGACGAAGAAATGACACCATAGATTGAAGACAGCTGCCGATTTTCAGAAGTAGGAAAGACGCAGCAATAACAAATGTTAGTACGAGGCTAAGTGAAGTGAGAAGTAAACTTTGGCCACTGGTGTGTTTTGGTCTAGAGATTTGCTGGTCCAGAAGCCAGACTGTTGTAATAAGAGACATGAAGAAGAAAAATCAGAATTTGTGTAGGCACACTTTGAAGAAACTAGCAACTAGGAAGTTTGAATGAGTAACAGGTAAGATAACAGATTTTTTACTTTTTGTTTCTGGATAGGGTTGAGCTAAAATGTGAGCCTGCTTGTTGGCCAAAGGGAAATAGCAGAAGAGTAAGAAAGATTGAGATAAAGTAGAAAAAAATTATGCAGGAAAGAAAAGAAAAGAAAAGAAAAATTATCGCAAAAAGAGAAATTATTGGAAAAATTAATGCATAGAAACATTAAAGAAAATTTATCTTAATCATGGCAATTTAATGGAGGAGATGTGACACTTTCTATGAGACGGAACAGAAAGAAAACACCTTTCAGCTGCAGATAATGGCAGATATGGAAGAAAGGAGAAGATAGAGGAGATTGTACTAGAGGATATTTATCTTCTCTGTAAATTACAAGGCAAGGTCACAAGTGCTGGGAAGGGATGTTACGTGCTTAATGGTGGAGGTGGGAAAGGCAGGCATATGTTACAGATATTAGCACAAGTATCCTTTTTCACCACGATGTGTCCAATACCTAGCACAATGCATGGCACACAACGGAAAATCTCTAGATATACATTGAATGAACAACTGCAATTTGAGGAATTTAGGTGCATGGAAAAATGTAGAACAAGCTGATAGGTCAAATGGAATAAAAGTCAACCAGGGAGAAGTAAAAGGTGTTCCAGATATTTTTAAGAGGTTTAAGAAAAGGAAGCCCAGAAGTACTGTAATTTATGACCTAATGGAGAGCTCCAGAAGACCTGCAGTGATCCTAGGAAGAAAAGATCTACAGCCTCCTCGGGAGCTATTCAACCTTGCAGTCCTCGTACATCCTTAGAAAACAGGTATCCATTCAATGAATAAGTAATTACCGACAGTTGGCAGATAAGGCATGTAAGTTTCTTATCCAACACCAAATACTCTTAGCAGAGATGGACAGTGTAGAAAAATTAGTTAATTACACTGTCAGCTAGTCACCTGGACTCTGTGGGTCCCACAAAAGTAAAAGGAATGACAGGTAGGACTGACCCACAGCTCCGCAGTGGGTCAGTCTAGATAAACGAGGGGCCTCACTCATCTGCGCTTTGTATCCTTTCTCATGTCTAAAACCATTCAAACTGAAAAACAAAAATCCCTCTCAAAATCCAAAATAACAGTCACTGAACAATGGAGAATGGAAGGCATATTATTAAATCTCTCCCACTGAAGGGCTGTTGAACTAGAGTCCCAGTGACTTGGGCTACACGATGTGTTACAGATGCTGTGTCCAGGTGTCTTTTGAATTCACATTATATCTAATAAATCACTGTATGTTCACTTGTCCTATTAAAACTGTATTCTACCTTACCAGGTCTGCATAATTTGTAGAAAATTGATTGCTACAGTTCTCACTAGAAGCTCTAATTGCATTCCTGGTATAACTTAAAATGATAACCTTATCTTAATTAGTAGCATGATGCAGAAATGCTTTGAAAGCCTCTGAGAACTAACCTGCATTTTTAAACACAAGCCCGGGGGCTTAGAAAAAAAAGATTCCTGTTGAATATTGCTGAATACATAAGCCAATGTTAATTTATCAAAACTACAAAAGAAAATTATCACACAGCAAGACAGACTAAACAATGCAGCTCACACCTCCTCTGATCAAGCAGTTTGCAACTCTCATTGTAGAATCACACAAGATGTCATTCGAATGCTTAGTCAGACCTCTGCTGACTGTTGACACCCACAGAAGAGTCTTTCTCTGGTTTTTCTAATGACACTATTGATAATCAGTAGAGCACGACAATGGTGGAATGAGTAGACAAACAGATTGGAGGGTAGGTATTGTCTTCATATGGGATTAATTACCATACAGATCCCCAGTAATAATCCCATAGGCTCCCATACCAGTCTTCTTCCGCAGTCAATCCTAGTTCATTTAATCCCAGCCCTCCTCATCCATCGCAAGCTTTCTAACACCGCCTTCTGGTCTGCCCATGTTTAGAATGTCTGAGTGACGCTCTAGAAGATAAACGTTCCCTGTGGGAGAGGTTACATTCTGTGTACATGTTTTCCGTATTATCACTCTGGTGAAAAGATGTCCAATGGCTCACCGATGATAACCATTACCTAAAAGAGCACCTCAGAACATCTGAACATTAACATTTCAAACAATCACCTTAAACTATACTATGGCAAAATAAAAGACTTTGCAAGTAAGTCATTATTGTAAATACCCAAAGTAGATGTCACAAGTTTCTCAATATAAGGCTTGTAAATTGAGGCATTTTCTAATAACCACTATGCAGCTGGGCATATCTCCTCAAATTTCCACCAAAAAAATAAATATTGGGTAGACTTTTGCTTATCATCCAGAATTATTAACTACAGCTACCCCCAGAAATGTGGAATAGATGCTATTTCAAGAGGAATACTCTTTCAAGCTTGGCTTCTGAGGTCTGTGGTTTCTCCCTATAAGCCGGAACCACTTGGGAAATAACTACCTTCCTATAAAGCAATTTAGCATTCCCTTCTTTGAAAATGTAAATGGTTCAAAAATTTTAAAAGTATCTTCTCCTTACTAGAAGTTAACAATTTTGTCTAGATGTCAGTGGTTAGCACTAACAGAGGATATTATAGTATGATATTATCATTAGAACTGAATAACTAGTGGAAAGCAATATGATATAAACACCTAACATTTTATTATAGTTCCATCTAGCTTAGTTTGTAAGCATAGAATATAGTAAAATTAAATAGGAGAAAATAGGTACATAATAATATTAATGTATGCCAGTATTAATGTGCTTTTAAAAAACAATTTTTTTAATTATCAAGGTTTTTTCAATAAGAGCATTAAAGCACTATTTTAAAATACCCGCTACATGCAAGAAGCTATGCATTGTAATTGATGTGAAAGTAAACTGCTCTTACAAGATAGCAAAGCATCGATTTAATTTATGTCAAGCTTGTCTGCAATAAGATATGTCATTTCAGAGAAGTATTAGTATGTGTAGTGTATATGGGCATATATTTACATAAGCAAATTATCCATACCTTGAAAGTCCCATAAATGTGTGTATTACTAGGCACATTTCTTCTTATTTAAAACTGTATCTGTGGACTTGAGTAAGGAGATTAAAGACTAAACATATATTAACACTGTGAAAATTCAGCCTGAAAAACTTCAGGATAAGAGATATTTTCATCAACAGATATTTCAAACTGAGTGACCCCAAATCTGTTTAAGACTGTTCTAAAGAAGGAAAGCCCTCATATAATTTAACTTGCTTTTCATTTCACTGGTCTGACAGCCACATACTGATAGCATCTTCAGGTTACAAATCCTGCCTTTTTACCATTGCAGTTATAGTCTCATTTACAACATTAGTGTGCTAAATAGGGACTGCATCAAAATCTTCAATTATTTTCAGACAGTCTATGCAACATTGCTGCTAATTCTAATGCCCAGGAAGCACAATCATCGTAACCTCTGCTATGATCCCAACGAGGATTCCTCAAGCTCCTTATAAATGCATTAATCGCCCCTATGAAAGTCACTGCTTGCTTTTAACGAAGATAATGTATGTTACTGGGATTATACCACTGCATGCAAAATCATTAAAGAAAGGGAGACCAGAATTTATGATTAAGCCTTTGGACAGCAGGGCACTATTTTAACCATAAAAATCACAATCTGCAGAGACAGTGGCCGAAGCAGAGGAACCATTAAAGACTTATAATTAGCATCAATCAAGGTGACACTACTGTTGGCATCTTTATTACTTTAAATACACTAATCAAATACTTCTGCATTGAGATGGAAAGATTGATAGGCAGCTAGACATAGAAAACATCTCTATGGAGAACAACTTTAAATTATCTGTTTGAAAGGTTAAAAAAAAAAAAAAAGTATTGGTATTAGTCAAGTAGGATCCCAACACACAACTCCAAAAGAAAAGTACTCAGAATGGACCTATGACGTTGTCAGGATCCTCAAGTGGATGCTTTAACACTAAGCATTTGCATGTCCCCTCTGGGAACCCACTGGACTTGCTTAATTTCGAAGAAAAAAAAAATAACTCAGGGGAACACAAGCTTCAGGCTACTCTGTCCTATAAATAAATAGCCAAGCACTCCTGCCCAACATTTATATATTTTCTAGCCTTCTCCTTACATGTGCACATGGAAATGAAAGATAAAAGGAGAGCTGAACTTACTACTATTTACATAATTACAATAGGGGCTGTCAATATTATCTAATTGCATCGCTGCTCAATTTCATACCACACAGACTCTGAAATATGCTGTTATTATTACTGCTCATATAAATATTTCAGTCTTAACGAACAAGAAGCCACTCAGCATCTCTGCCACCCCTTGAGCCCATATGGCATTATACCTTAATGACTAATTTTTAAAGGGCGCTCTTCTCCAAACACTTTCTGTGAACAGTTTCAGTGTTCACAAACTGAATTCTTGAGGTTAAGGGCACACACCATAAGGAAAGGATATGAAGTAGTTTTCCGATAACAAAGTCTGGCTGGAATCAATTCAGAATTATGGATAAAGATTTGGCAAGGCATCTCCCAAGGGTACAACTTCATCTTTGCCAAATGAAATTATAATTGCAAAGACTTTCATTATGAAGATGATGAGTCCCAACAATCGTTTTGGCTCCAAAGTTCAACTTTTACTTACAAGTTCCTTAACTGGCACCCCCGCCACTAGGTTTAAAAAATATATTACATTTCCTTTGAATTAATACCTGCCTCTTTAAAAAAAAAAATGGTTTGTTTGTGTCCATAAAAAACTGGGCAGAGTCAAAGGAAATTCTTCATTGCTTCCCCTCAGCAGCGAATAAAGGACTGAGGAAAGAGAATGAATGATAAAGATGAAACAATTGGAAGAAGCAAATTACTTAAGAGGAAATACATACAATTTACTGAAGGAGTACTAGCTAACTCAAATCCAGTTTCATTTTAAATTTTGTGGTCAAAGAAAGATTTTCCAATGTAACATGATAATCTTACAGAGCCAAAGACTAAGGAAAATGCTACAATTTGACTACTGAAAATCCTATTAGTTGGCTGGGCACGGTGGCTCACGCTTGTAATCCTAACACCTTGAGAAGCCAAGGCAGGAGGATCACTTGAACCGAGGAGTTTGAGACCAGCCTGAGCAACGTGGTGAGACTACAGCTCTACAAAAACTACAAAAATTAGCCAGGTACAGTGGCACACACCTGTGGTCCCAGCTACTCAAAAGGCTGAGGCAGGAGGATCACTTGAGCCCAGGAGGTTGAGACTGCACTGACCCTTATCACACCAACACCACTGCATTCCAGCCTATGTGTAGATCGAGAACTTGTCTCAAAAAAAGAAAAAGAAAAAAGGAAAATCCTACTAGTTTAAGCCAATATTTAACAAATCACTCCAAGACATTATGCTGCAATTTTTAAAAGGTTCCAGTATTCTCAACTTCTCTCAAATGATGATAGCAAACACTTCTGCTTCTTAAAAGGATAGCAGTCCCTTATATATGAATAGGGTTTTACATTTTACCAAGTAATTTTATACATATTCACTTTTGCATCAACCTTGTGAAGCAGATAAGATTATTTCCATTTTACAGATGAAGTTATAGACTAAGAGAAGGTAACAGGCCTCTCTCTCAATGAGCACCCAGATGGTAGACGTATCTATTGACTCAACGCCTTCTCCACTATACCATGCTGACCCTGAGTTGCTTTGAAATATTCCATAGCCTTGTTAACTGAGGAGAGAAATCATGAATTACAGATCCTGATTACCTGTAGTAAAGACAAATATTAAAGAGTACTCTTACCAAGAGAAAGCTCTTCATAAAGAACCAGTAAGATGCATGTTAAGCATGAGAGAATCCTAGTCAGTTTGCTTTGTTTAGAGATGGGTCATCTTGCTATTCCAGTCCAAGAGTTTGCTTTTCACTGTTGAATCATTTGATTCTCACTGACGCAAAAGGAATGGGAAAGGCTGTGCAATACTGTATGAGGCTGACCTTACCACTTACGGAAAAGCTGCCAGCCAGACACAAAGTGTTGGCTAATAATGAGTCAGAGATGGACTCAATAATATCAAAGACTTTTATGTTGAATCCTTAACAAAGGAGCTTGATGTAAAAACAAGGGTTTAAGACTGGGAAATGGCAAAAGAAAGGAACAGTCACTTCCCCATCAGAGGACACCCTTTTGCCAAAATTTGCTGAAATGTGTACACAATACTTTTAATACTTTTAAATAGACATGTGTTAGAGAATTCTTATCAGTAAGTGCTGCACGCTAGATCCAAATGAGGAAATAATTTGAAACCTGGCAAATTCTCTTTTAACATAGTAAATAGCTCAAATCTTATTGGTTTATATTTTCCAGTTACTATCATTTTCGTGTCAAAAAGAGGAGGAAAAAGATAATAGGAAAACCAAACGACAAAAATAATTGCATATAATTATATAACACTTGGAAAAAGAAAACCTTCATCTAACAGCAATGGCAGGAGTAGGCTTATTACAAGGACAACATTACCACCCTGGTCCACTGCATTCTCTTTTGCAATGTTTCAATGACTCTCTTATCTTGTTGCTCCAGCAATAATAACTGAAGTTATGTAACTACAGTCCTGAGCTGACTACAAAATACAATGGGTGTGAAGTAATTGAGGTTTCTCAATTTTTAATACAGGTAGGGATATTTTTCATTATATTTATATGTTTCACAATGGAGTCATTATCATAGGAAAAATGAGCTGTGGATATTAAGGACATGGAGTTAATTAACAAATAATATGGAAAACTTTGATAAATCAAAGGAGCTTCTTATCAGTAGAAATGTTCTCCCAATCTAGCAATAAATATTCCAACAAGTCATTTTAAATTACATACATGCTGTGTTGTCATTTTTCTAAGGTGATGGATAAGGAGATTTAATTTCTTTAACTTGGGCATGTTTTCATTTGTTGGAATTCTATCAGATAACGACCAATATAAAGTGTGTAACAAAGAGGCTAGCCATTACAGGCACACAAAAGCATGGGTTTGCCCATCTCATGCCCTGTCCTCAATGGTGATCAGTGGAGAGGGGATGGAAAATTTCTGCTTGCATATGAAGACTCTAAAAATATTAATATAAAAAGAATTCCAAACAAATGTAAGGTGTAAATTTACAGCACTCTGATGGTTTGTTTGGTCTGACTTTGAAAATAAAAGTAAAAGGGCCAACATGCTAACATCCTAAAAAAAAAAGTCATTTAAATAGTAAGAATAACTTATGAGATAATGGAGGTACTAAATGGCCCACTGAACCCTGAAGGAAAATTAAAATTCCTAAGTGAAGAGGAAAAAACTGCTTTGATGCATACCTCTCAGAGAAACACAAAAACTGGGTTTATCCATAAACCTGGCTGGTCACAGAACACATTAGCAATGAGAAATGCCATTCAAGAAAACCCTATAGATCTATTTCTCTACTCATGACCAATAGCTCCACAGATTCAACTAGAATGAAGATCATGAATAAAAAGCTTACAATAAATGGTAGCATGCAGTAGGCAAACATATACAAAGGAGGTAATCCCTGAGCACCAAATTACAGCCTCTGTCCACAAATTATAACAGCACCCTTCTACTATCTAAGATCTGGGTTACGGACATGTAATGCACACTCACTCTCCTAAAATGTAGCCACAGAAGCATGGCAAAGACATACACCTCTTAGGGCTCAAGGTCAAGAGCACAGGACATAAATTCACTAATGCTAAAAATGAATGGAAAGCCAAAGAGAAGAGATGGTCTCTATTACTTTGTATTGAAGCCCATAAGTGGTTTGCAATTGTCGTACAAAATACGTTTCCTCACTATCCTTTGTATTCTGGTGTGGGGGTTTTATTTATTTATTTATTTATTGGCCATTATATGGCCCGATCTACTATACGTCGAATAAAAATGGATCATTTCTAATTTAATAGTGACACAAAACCTTTGGAACTCATACACTATTGACATTGCATACAATATTGACCCTGAATTTATAAAATATTGACTCATTTTTGTTTCTCTGCACTTTTCTCTAGGATGTGAAATGATCAGAATGAGTTTGCCATAGGCTATTGTTTTTGTTTTATTTTGGTTGGTCTTGATGCTCTCAACTAACCTATCACCTGGACAGACTTCTGGTAAGATTCTGACTAACCAAACCAAATTGAAAGAATCAGTTGCATGCTAGATAACAAGAGACTATTTTCATTTTAAATACATCCTGATAAAGCTTTATGGCACTACTTCTTTAAATTTTAAAATAAATGTGTAAGAACTACCAAAACATCCATACCCATACTGTTGCAAACAAGGTACACATGTGGTTTCCAGAGGGAAACAAAATGAGACTCAAGGCAGTAGCATTTGTAGTGGTTCCTAAGCATGGAGAGAGGACCTGAGCTGTAAGCCGTTCTCTCTTCTCTCTCTCTCTCTTCAGCTATCTGCTCCTGGACAAATCTTCAACTTCCTGAAACATAAGCATAATAATATTGACATTACCTCATTGTGTTACGGTAAGGAACAGATGAGAGGGCGTATGGGAAAGCGTTCTGTATACCATAAAATGCTCCAAATACATACATTACAAATGGGAACACTATACATCCACAAGTTAAAAAGAGAGAAAGACACACTGGTGTGGCTGATTGGAAATGTATTCATTATAATACAGATGTGCAAAAAATAATTTTTTAAAAAATGGTGTTTCCCGTCACATAACTAACTTCATGTTGCTCACAAGTCTCCATTCTCCCTTGGTGATAAAAATGCAAAACAAAACAAACATTTTAAGCTGGTTCATTTAATATCACTCGGGTTCTCTGGAAAATGGTCAATTTGGGGCAGATTTTCAGTCTTTCGGGTTGTTTTCTCTCTTCCCCCTCCTTCTGGCATGCTAGCACCTCCTCAGAGGAAGCGTATGTAACGCTGTGGTGGCAAAAGAACATCTGCTCTCATCACTGCCCTTCTTGGGTGGGCTGCTGAAGTCTGAGTAAGGCACAGCTAATCTTGCCTGGTCGCTGGTGGATGTTGGCTTCTAACTTCACTGTAACTGTTTCTGAAGTGTCTGGGATGGTCCTCTGGTCATAGGCACCAAACAATGCCTGCTTGTGGCCATCTCCCCCGACTGACTAGACTCCTCATCTCAGCTCTATCTGATGCTCAGACTCAGCTGTGACTCCAGCTTGGAGAGGGGCACCCTGTAATCTCTGCCACCGATTTCCTTGCTTAGAGCTACCAGGACCCTGCAAGGTGTGCTGATGCCTACTTATTAGGTCACTTCATCATCTGTCTCTCCAGAACATCTGGCTCAATTTTAAGATATGAGGTACCTGGAAAAGACGTGAGTAGAATGGCTTTTTCTTCAACAGGCCACTTTTCAACTCTACTACCTGTGCCAAGATGGTTTGGAGATCCTCAAAAGGCACTCCCCCAGGGTTCCAGAGGATCAGGAAGACACGGCCTCCTCTGCCTATCCCTCCTCAACCTTCCGAAGTGTTTTGTGTTGTTTTTAATCACCTTGTTCTTGATCCCCATCCTCAATCTCTCCTCAAGCATCACTTTGATCCACCAGAAGGATCTTGCTTTCCTATGTGGTTGCATCTCACTTTACATAAGATCCTGTCTCAGATCCTCAGGGTTTCTTCTTAATATTTAAATGTAAGCTTTAGAATTTTCAACAAATCCTGGTTTTTATAAGAACTTCTCTGATGGCTACCAGGGCACATTTGTTCTAGAATCTAGGCTGTCCCTGCCCTACTCCTAAAGCAACAGTGGCTCTCAATTCCCCATCCATGAGCATGGCACCTGCAGAGCAAGATTTACAGGGATTTATTTTTTTAAAGCATCATGAAATGTTTCAAAATTGTATCCTTACTATATTAGCTAGGCAGTTTAGGATTATGGGAGATTTTCAAGAGTTTCCTGAATAAAGAAAGATAACTGTGAAATAACACTTATATGGTATAGATATTATTAGCCCATTTTACAGATGAAGAAATGAAGGCTCGAGGAGGTGACGCCAAAATTTAAACTCAGGTATTGGTATTATTATTCCAGCATTCTTTTCATTACTAACATCATAGTTCCTTGACAGTATCAGTAAATACAAAAAAAGAGAAATATAAATATAAATTCCTGCCACTTACCTAAGCAAAAAAAATAATGATTTTGGTAAAGATAACAAAATAGAGAGACCTTGATGTTTCATTAAACTTCATTCATCATTTTCTTCATTCAACTATCCTTTATTGTGTGCTTCTGCCATAACAAACTGTGAAATTTAAAATCTGGAAATTTAAAATTTGTCCCTGCTCTTAATGAAAGCACAGTATGGGGGTGGGGGGAGGCAGACAAATGTAATTATAATACACCTAGGCAAGTTCAGTGCTGTATGATTTTTATTATCATAGGGCTTTCAGGGTTTCCAAATCAATTTTTTCCATGCTTCCAATGGTTACTAAGTTTACACAGTAACTCTACAAGTAGGAATTTCACTATACATGTTAGGATGTGAAGAATTACTTAGTTGAAAATATTTGTCTCAATAAATCTGCAAATTACCAAGGGAAAGATAGAAATACAGGGTATATAGTGACATGGAAGTGATGAGGGCCACCCACTCCAGCTACCTACACATGTATCACTGGTCATTTTCTTTTTCAACAATCTCAGTGCCCTAAAAACTGTACCTCTCTGGAGCAGCCACAGTTAGCCCCACTTGTTCCCACAGCAGTGTTAGAGAAATCATCTACACTTCACATCTGTACCCAGCAGTAATGACTCACTGACCTGAGCTAACCAGAAACAAAATGCAGGCTGGGCACAGTGGCTCACGCCTGTAATCTCAGCACTTTGGGAGGCCACGGCGGGCAGATCACTTGAGGTCAGGAGTTAGAGACCAGCCTGGCGAACGTGGTGAAACCTCTTCTCTACTAAAAATACAAAAATTATCCAGGCATGGTGGCAGGCGCCTGTAGTCCGCTGAGGCAAGAGAATCACTTGAACCCAGGAGGTGGAGGTTGCAGTGAGCTGAGATTGCACCACTGCACTCCAGACTGGGCGACCGAGTGAGAATCCATCTCAAAAAAAAAAAGAAAAAGAAATGCAAAGGCGTGTGTGTGTGTGTGTGTGTGTGTGTGTGTGTGTGTGTGTGTATACATGCACGCACCTGTGTCAGAGGTCTTTGGATATAAATATATATGCATATACTTACATATATAAATATACATATATATACATACATACATATATATACACACATATATATAAAGATGTATAACTTTACTCATAATCCTCATACATCTGTATTAGGTGAAAGATAAGATGTCCAAATAAATGATACTTCAACTGGTTTATTCTCTGCGTGTTTTAATCATTGAAATACATTCTCTATAGTGTGTGTCTCTTTTTCACTCAACACGTATATACACACACAGAGCATTAAAAATAAATTTGGTAAACTTCATTAAAATATTTTCCTCAAACATTTCCCAGATATTTCCCAGTGATCTGAGAAGAGTTACAGAGAGACTACCTCCAGAAGTAAGTTATGACTTTGAGATAGTATTTAGGTGCCTGGTTGTATGAAGGTTTTATGAAAATAATGGAAAAAAATTTGATAGTTAAAGAGTGACTGTAGTCTTCAAATACTAAGTGTGGTGAAAGGGAAAAGTAATATAAATGTGTTCAATTCTATTCCTCCAAATTCTGAAACTCAAACACCTGTCCTGAAACATTAATGTCTTTGACTTAAAAATGGGACTTAATAAGCTGCCACATGACTCAAACTAATAATTAAAAAGAAAGAAAATACAATTACTGTCTAAATAACAAATAGTCTAGAAGTATAGTATTAAACAAAATAAAAATTCACAGCCATTTGACCTATTTGGGGAGTGGGGAGCATTTACATATCCCACTATGGAATTATATGTATGCTAATTACATGCTAATGTAAACATGAAAAAATATTATATGGAAATTGCAAGTTGAAGAACCACCAAAAACATACAAAGGCAAAAAAATAGGTCTGCTTGAAAACAGTTTCTGCCATCTTGCTTATTCATGTGTAAACGTTCAATATGCTCAAGGCTTTGACATCTCTATTCATTTTGGGATTTGAATCAGCTATAAATATATAACCTCTAATTATACGATTTGTCAAAAATTCTGAAATTCTTTTACATATCAGGCTAACTTTATAAAAATATATATATATTCATGCTTCCCATTTTAAGTGATAACTTTCCGGGAAATTGAGAGCCCCCTAATAAAGAGTACATGTTTGTTAATTGGCCCATTTGCCTGACCATTCACACCTAGAACTGTATTCTTCCCAATACAGATAACATTTTTAATCTTCTTTTTTTTTTTGCGACTGTGTTCCCAAAAATGCTTGACAGGTGCATTCTATAAATCTCTCGTTTACGGAAGGCAAAGAGAAGCCTCACTTTCCCATTCATACGCTATTGTATAATCAGATCTCTGTAGGCAAAATCTCAGCAAAAATAAGACCCCTCAATGGGTTAAACAGCACAAGTGCCAAGCCTTTCCTCCAGATTTTTGTGCCCTCCAGCAATAAGCTGGCTGTTGCACCTGGCAAACATATGCAGAAAACTAGGCCAAATATGGTTGACAAATTTGGCCAGATTCTTTCCTGTGACCCACTGTGATAGTTAACCTAAAGTTCCCAATGTCAATTCAATTTCCAAAGGTAAACTTTTAATTTTTTCCTTAATACGTGTTAATAGTTGAGATACTGGTGTAAACAAAACCATCTCATGTTTGAAGTAAAAACTAATGCATTTTAAAAAATTAACAGATGTGCTACACTTGTATCAGTGGAGAGAGTGAATATTGAGAATAAGATGGATACTATGGAACTGGACCTGATGATATCATCTCAAGGTTTAGAAGCATAAGGAAAGGATGTGTCCAGTGCTTCTGCCAGGTGCAACGCCTTTTAGGTTGCCCACAGTAATTGGCCATCAAACTAAATCTCTAAAGTCAGCTGAAACTTCATGGAGGTAGTTGAAATTCCAGGGCTTCTGGAGGTTCTACTATTTGTCAAACACGGGATTAAATCATTTAAAATAGCCATATGCTTTAAAATATTGATAATAAACCTAAATAAATGTATCCTCTTTTCCCATACCTCTGACATTTTCAGGCATCCACCATTCTAGGCAATGGTGATAAAGACATGAACGTTTTCACAGTCCTTGCCTCCAAAGGTATCAGCTCCGAAAGTATTGACTACAACAGTAGAAAGCCTAACACCTGTGCTAACTAGAGTTTCAACCTTGTTCTTTAGGCTGTGTTTTTCAAGCCATTTTTTTTATTATGTCAAGTAATATGGAATGATTGAGTTATTGTATCTATTACATGTATCTATTACATTAGAGTGACAGTTTATTGCAGCATTACCAAAAAGCTGTATTCTGACAGAATGCATATCAACACACAGCAGCAAAGATGAAACAACTTTTTCCTACTCAAAAAAAATTTACACAAGAGGTATGTGAAATTCACATATGTATTTAAGTTTGGATAAAAACTTAGCTCACATAAGGAATATACTGAAATTGAGCAAATTATATATCACTTAAAATAATACTACAAGAAGCTAAAAAAAAGTAAGGGTGTTTGTACACTCAGAAAACTGCCACAAAACATACCCCAGATAAATCAACAAACCTCTTTATGCCTATTTTATAAACTATTACCAACTACGTTGTACTCTGTTTACTCTTCTTTCTTGTGAGGACAAACCTTCTCATCCTACTGGCTTTGTCACCCTGTCTCGTAAGCAAGCCCAAATCGCTTCTATCTTTTTTTTTTTTTTTTTTTTTTTGAGATGGGGTCTTGCTCTGTTGCCGAGGCTGGAGTGCAGTGGTATGATCTTGACTCACTGCAACCTCTGCCTCCCAGGTTCAAGCAATTCTCCTACCTCAGTCTCCCAAGTAGCTGGGACTACAGGCACATCACCACACCCAGCTAATTTTTGCATTTTTAGTAGAGATGGGGTTTCACCATGTTGGCCAGGCTAGTCTTGAACTCCTGACCTCAGGTGATCCACTCACCTCGGCCTCCCAAAGTGCTGGGATTACAGGAGTGAGCTACCACACCCGGCCCACTTTTATCTTTAAAAACCACTCCTCTTTGCATGTCACTCCATACCTGTGCTCCAACTCCTCGTCCTCTCCAAACTTTTGGTGAAAGTGGGCTATTTTTACTAACTCATCTTCATCACTCTATATTCATTTCTGAATCCAGTGAATTCTGGTTTGAATCTTCACAATTATAGTAAAACGGCTTACTGTTAAAAGTTAAACAAAATCTTCTACATTGCTAAATCCAATGGACACTTTTCATTTCTCACCTGTTTCAACAGCTCTGTTAAATTTGGTCTTGTCAATTGCATCCTCTTTCCTAAAACCACATGCTCTGTTGGCCACTTCTGTCCGTTCCAGGAGAGTCACTCTTCTGATTTGCCTCATTCCCTCCAAGTCCCCATTCTCTTGCCTCTGCAATACTGCATGGTGGTTATGGGGACTTTGGCACCAGACTATCTGGGTTCAAATCTGTTTTTCCATTTACCGGCTGTGAGACTTTGGGCAACCCATTTAATTCCCTGTTCTTAGTTTTCCATTTGCAACCTGGGGATCATCCTGGTATAGCCACTTGTCACTTGTCGGCCAGGTGATGGGGATGGGAGACGTTCTCTGTTGCAATGATTAACTGGGCAGACAGTGAGTCCTGGGTCTTGAAGGTAGGGCTATCCTTTGGTTCCTGCTCCTCCCCCATCTATAGGTCTGGGCCTAAGATGTATTCCTGCCTCATCCCAGGGGAAGAGAGATTTTTCTGTACCTCCCTTCAGCTGCAGTAAGTTTTCCCCAGTTCCCTAAGGACAACAGGGTTTGTTGCTCTTCCCCATGAAGTTTAAGGCTTTTGTTCCGTAGGAGAGAGAGGGGAAAGCGATACAGGTGGGTCTTCATGCCCTCCCCTGAACACCCTCTCAGGTCTGCATGAGGGAAATTTTTTTTTTGGACTCTTGCCCTATCCTTTTTATGCATATCCTGCACATCAGTGAAGAAGAACCTGCCAAGGAGTGCAAATCTCCCTGTGTCTGCAGTCCCCAGGGGTTTTAGTTGCTCTAACTAGCTTAATATTGGCCTTTATCAACTTGTTAAACATTTTAGTGGAATTCTTCTTACCAGTATCCTAGGCATCTGCTCCAGGTATGCAAGGGCTAGCCCCTCATCTCTCCTGAGAGACACTTGTCCCTCCTTGAATTTTAAGTTGTAGCTGGTTTCCCTGAGACCTCGGCTCTCTCATAGGTTCAAGAACAGCATGTATTTGCAAATTTTCTGCTATTTTGTTGTTTTGTAAGGGTGGAAATATTCTTTTTTCAGCTTTCTACATCCTAATTGGATGCCCCAAATCTTGATTTTTCAACCAAGGCCCCAAAGTACTTCAATAGATAAAGGAAAATCTCTTTTCAACCAGTTATACTGAAACAACTGGCTATTTATTTGGGGAAATACCCCATATCTCAGATCATATACAAAACTGTATCCTAGATTATAGATCTTAACATAAACATAAGACTATAAGCCTTCTGAAGGAAAACATAGAAGAGTATCTTTACGATCTTGGGAAAGACGAACATCTTAGCATAAGAAAACATTTAAAATAACAGAAAAAATATACAAATGGATTTCATCAAAATTAAAATGTTTGATCTTTGAAAGACACCATAAGGAGGCCAGGCGCAGTGGCTCATGCCTGTAATCCCAGCACTTTGGGAGGCCGAGAAGGGCGAATCACTTGAGGTCAGGAGTTCAACAGCAGTCTGGCCAACGTGGTGAAACCCTGTCTCTACTAAAAACACAAAAATTAGCCAGGCATGGTGGCGCATGCCTGTAATCCCAGCTACTCAGGAGGCTGAGGTGGGAGAATTGCTTCAGCCTGGGAGGCAGAGGTTGCAGTGAGCCAAGATCACGCCATTGCACTCCAGCCTGGGTGACAGGGTGAGACTCTGTCTCAAAAAGAAAAAAGAAAAGAAAAGACACCATAAGGAAAATAAGTGGTTAATGCTACCAACTAGGAGAAAATATTCACAATATATATATCTGACAAAGGACTTCTAACTCCTACAACTCAATAATAAAAAGACAATGCAATTTATAATATGGGCAAAAGACCTGAATAGGCACTTCACAAAGAAATATATATGAATAACCAAAAAGCACATGAAATAATGTTCACCATCATTAGTCATTATGGAAATGCAAATCAAAACCACATGAGAAATCACCCTACGCCCACTCACATGGCTAAAATTTAACAGACTGATGATGCCAAATGTCAAAGAGGATATGAAAAAACAGAACTCTCCTACATTGCTGGTGGGAGCGTAAAATGGTACAACCTCTTTAGTAACCAGTATGGAACTTTCTTTTAAAGTTAACCATCTACCCTTTGGTATTTACCCCAAAGAAATGTAAGTACATACGCATAAAAAATGTGGTATAAAAAGGTTCCTAACAACTTTATTTACAATGGACAAACACCGAAAACATCCAAATGTTCTTCAGCAGGTGAATGGATAAACAAATTGTGGTATATCCAGACAACAGAACACAATAAAAAGAAACGATCCCAATGGAGCAATAACATAGGTACACACCAAAAATCTTAAGAGGAGCAAAAGAATCCATCCACAACAGAGTGCATATTGTGTGATTCCAGAACAGGCAAAAGTCATCTATGAAGAAAGAATCAGAACAGTGTGCCCCTTGGGGGCAATGGGGGAGAAAAGTGCAGGAGCAAGCTTTATATTTTATAACCTTTATATTTTATAATCTTTATATTTTATAGAAATGTTCTACATAGGCTGGGCACAGTGGTGCACGCCTGTAATCCCAACACTGTGGGAGGCTAAGGCAGGAGGATCGATTGAGCCCAGTTTAAGACCAGCCTAGACAACATGGGGAGACCCTGTCTCCACAAAAAAAATACAAAAATTAGCCAGCTGTGGTGGCACTCAGGAGGCTGAGGTGAGAGGTCGAGGCTACAGTGAGCCACGATTATGTAACTGCATACCAGCCTGGGTGACAGAGTGAGACCCTGTCTCAAAAAAAAAAAAAAAGAAAGAAAGAAAAGAAAAAATGTTCTATATATTGACGGAGGTACAGGTTATATCAATGTGTGTGTGTGTGCGTGCTTAAGATTTGTGCGATTCACAACCTGTCAATCTGTAAATACACACACACACACACACAATTAGAGATGGGCTCTCTATGACCACCCTACATAAAATTTCACCTCCCTCTCCCTCATTTTCTGACACGTTAGCCTTAGTCTTTGTCATAGCACTTCTTTAGATCTGATGTTCTAGTATTTGCTTTTCTATTTACTGCCGGCCTTATCAGAATGTAAGCTTCTTGAAGGTGAAGACTTTTTTTCTTGTTTGCCGTTCTATATCCAATAGCAATGACTATGAATAAAAGGCAATAATTAATATAGCTGGATGCTGAACTTTGATTTGTTTTCTTGGTTATGTAGGTTTCTTCTTTGCTTGCCTAATGGGGGGTTTAAAAAATCAGACAAAGCAGGAGTGAAACACTTTGTAATCCATAAGTACTATATAACCTAAAGGATGATTAAACACAAGAAATTAGCTATTTATAGAAGACGTTCGGTGTTAGATAGCTTAAACATTTCTGTAGAACAGCTCATGGTGGTTGTAATTTAAGAACTGCCATCCCAAAGCAAGAACAAGACTAGGGGGAAGCAGATAGCGTACTGGCAAAGCAAAGCTTCTATCTAACTGGCTAAGTCACAGACATTGCTTAATTTCCTCAAGTTCATGACTTTCCCTTAACTCCATGGCTAATGGAAATTCATTTTAGACAGCTTTCTGGGATTAGAGTATTACAGCAGCATCAGTCAGATGGAGAATATCAAGCTAGCCTCTGTTCAAGCATTTACAGATTTATAACTAATTAGATCCTGTCCACACCTCACCTGAAATCATGTTAGCAAGATCCAAGTTAAAGTACATTAATAGCTAGCCGGGGTATAACACAGTCCTTTAGGCCATCCTGAGTAGCACTGTAATAAGATTTTTTTTTTTCTATTTCAAGATTCCTTTAAAAGGAAAGAATAAATGAGTTGGTCTCAAGGAAGCCACAGATACAATGCCAAGATTCCAAAATACAAGCACCTTGGTCACCTGTCAGATATATAAATTGAACAATAATTACAAAGATAAGCAGACAAATGCATACACACACTATCTTACCTGAGGATATAAGCACAGTTTTACAATTTTTAAATATATTCAATTATGAAAGAAGAAAATTGAAGAGATAAAAGAATATCTGATGGAATATGGAATAAAATGTATATTTATTTTATAATACGGGGGTTACTCAAGGTTTAAGTAAACGATTGTCTAGCCATCTGTTATAATGTAGATTTTAAAGTGCCTTGTGGTGGTCAACACTGCAGATATCTAAATCAAACTGAGAGAATATCTGGAGTGAATGAAAACATAATTTATTTGAGCATAACAATCCAATGTTGTTCATATAATTTGGAGCAGCATAATTCATTACAAATATGTAGGAGCAACCTCTGACTCCCAGAATACAAGAAAATATTCAAATGTGGACAATTCATATTAATAAACTGTCTAATAATGTCATCATGTACCTATTGTATGAACAGAGATACTATTAACCATCAGGACATAATATTTTGATTTAGTTCAGAGGACAGGAAAGAAATGGAGTATTCTAAAGATCTCCACAACTGGGTGAGAAGTTACTGATGGCCCTGGTAGAGACAGTGGGACAGTTTTCCATACTTATTGTGGACATTTATTTAGAGATCTGTGGGCACATGTTCATTATATAAACTCTCGTGTCATTCATCAAAATTGGGATTCAGCTCAGCTAAAGAATGGCACGATATGATCTCCGTGGAGCTCTAAGTCTAAAGAAATTAAATAAATAAGGAAAAGCACAGAACTCAGCATCCACTCTGACTCATTATTGCCTTTTATTCACGGTCACTGCCAAGGTTTACCCTCCATTAGGAGACTTCACCCAGCCTCGTCTGTCTACTTCAATATGGTTTCTATTGAAATGAAAAGAGTCACTTGTAAAGCAGTAAATTCATGCACACATTAAAAAAAAAAAAGAGTGTGCTGATAGTTCAGAATAAATTTTTTTAAAGGCTTTCTTCTTTCCTTTTGAAAAGACTAGCAATCTTAGGAACTGTCTTTTAATGTGATGGCAGAAGCAGTCACAGTTATTGCATTCAAAATGTTATCAATAGTCAAAGTTTCAATCATGCAGCACCCCTAGGAATTCCAGAAGATGACAACTGTCCAACAATTAGACAAAAACACAAGCCACTGTCTATCTACCTCTACTTTTCACTCATGTCCTCATGTGGTTTTGTATAGAAAGGAAATCTTTGGGGAAATTGTGTTCTTTTTAAAGTGGGTAAATACCTATAAGACACCTACATGTTTCTAATTCTGTAACTTCTATCCCGAGAATGAGCTGACTCTCGGGTCCTGGGGATCCAGCTCACAGTAGAAAGCACAATTCTACTAGGTTATCTTACACACTCACTAGGTGCTCCCACCCTTAATGTTGGTCATTAACTAGTCACAATGACAAATAGCTGGTCCAGCTTGGCATCAATTCAGACCCATGGCTGAGGTGCCAAACACAGCACTGGAGCCCACAAGCCGAGACGACAAACTGACAGTCTCTGACAGTTCGTGCCTGGGCCAAGATCTGAACCACGAGGCAGGGCAAAACTCCCATCTGCTGTCCATCTGCCACCCTGCCCCTATCAAAAAAGGTTATACCGTGAGCCACAGACAGATGGGCACTGCAATGATCAATTAGAAGAAAAAAAGGGAGCCTGAGACGATTGGAATGATGACCTTTGATCCAACATGGAAATCCCAGTAGTAATAAAAATCATGCATAATTTCAAGGTCTTTTAATTGTGTAAAACAGATATTGTATCTTTTGCCAACAATAAAAATAAGCAAAGTGATGTTTATATTCCATGCACTAAGTATATAGTGTGCTAAGTACAATATACTCTCGAAGAAAAAAATCAGTTAAAGATGTGTGTGTGTGTGTGTGTGTTGTCCTCACTTGAAGTTGTTTTTTCTCAATGACACATCAGTAAATTTTAACAATGTTATTAAACTAATAAAACAGCAACCCTTTATAAGTTTCTAGTAGTGTATATTTTCATCAGAAGCATACTTTACATAAACAGGAAACTAGGATAAGTCAGCTCATGTATTAAACAAAAGCCTTAAGACATAAAGGGAATAGTAAATTCTTGAGCTAAAGCTAAGTGTATGTTGTGTTTCCATAGCAAAAGCAACTTTTGCAAAGCAAATATATACCCTAGACAAAAGGCAGTTGTTCAGTTCATTCAACATAGAATGTGTACCTACCATGTACCAGGCAAAGCACTAGAAGCTAGGGATAAAAAGAAAAGACACAGATGGTCTTTGTCTCCAGGGAGCTTACAGTCTCATGGGGAGATGGGTGAATACACTGCTTACCATAATATAGTAAAATAGCATGGTGGAGAAAGGATATGGAGCCATGTGGCTGGCCCTTGAAGGGAGAAATGGTCACATCAGTTGTTTGGAAAAAGTAAGAATGCCATGTGTGTAGTGTTTTAATTTTCATATGCTTTTTACAGATTTATAAAGTTTAATTTTCCTTGCAGTTTACACAGGAGAATCAAATATGGATAATCCATGTTTTAAAAAAGGAAGAATAATCTTTCAAATAATGTTAGAATTTTTTAGTGTAACTTTCACCTTTTGGAACCACTTTTCATAGCAAATTATATTCTAAAAGTTGACATGAAACAGAAATCCAACTAGGCAAATTTACATATGAATTCATAATAAATTTATTATCTAATGTAAAAAATGAGAACTGTCTCACAAAAAGACATACAGAATGTCCTAAGTGGCTTTACTCATGATAGCTCAAAAATGGAGGTGAGTCAAAAGTCCAGCAAGAGAAAAATGAACAATGAAACTGGGGAATATTGATACAACTGAATATTCCCCAAATATATAAATGAAATAACACACAACACATGGATGAAAACACAACACATGCATGAATCTTGAAAACATTATGCAAAAGAGTGCACACTGTATGCTGCTATATATATATATGCACCTGAAGAGCAGGTAACTAATCTATGCTGACAAAGGTGTGACTGACTCTAGTTGCAGGGTGGGAGCTATTGAAAGGAAAAGGGTACAATAAAAATTTCAGGAATGACAGAAATGTTTTATATCTTGATCTGGGTAATATATGTAAAAACTGTATAGACTTTATGTGAAAATTCATTGAATTTTACATTTAAGATCTGTGCATTTTACCGAGTGCCAATTATATCTCAACTTTGAAAACTGTAAAATACTGAGGTCATGTGATACAATAAATTAGAGATTAATCAGATAAGTATTTTTTAAATTCTCATAATCATATAACAAAATGTCTAAATAGTTCATCATTTCACAAATAATAACATAAATTCAGAGACTTGCTATTTCTATGCCCACAATTTCAAAAGGCAAACAAGAATAATAAATGTTTGGAAAGTGTCCATTAGGATACTCTTTCATCTGAACTGCAATGTGCTTCTTATCTGAGCCATATTTAAATAATTTGATCCAATTCAGGGTCAGAAGGGTATCATAAGCATATGGAAAATCTTATGGTTTATCATATGCCCATACATCCTTTATTTTTTTAAAGAACAATTTAACTTCAATGCTACATAAAATGGCCTTGCTGCCCTCATTCTTTCATTTCCTTAAAAGTCACTAATCACCATCAAAAAAGTAGAAATACATAATACAGGATTCACATTAGCCCTTGATTATTCTGAGGGAAAAAAGAAAAGAAAACGATACTACATCCAAAATGTGCATCAAACACAGTAATTTATCCTTTGATTTTTATATTGTATCACTATGTAAACTCGACTTCATAAGGAAGTTGTCACTGACCTACTATTTGAACTTGACAACAAGAAACACTGTCACCAATGTTAATTTTAAACTTGATTTTTAACTAAGCCTTATATGTAAATCATCTCAAAGAATCAGTCGTAAAGAGATTTAACAATATCTAAGAATTAGTTATGCATTAGAAAAATAATACCACTTTAATTTACATACATCTTGATTCTGATAGCACCAAGCACTTCAAATATACAATTGGTTTTATCTTTAATAACCCAGTGGAGAAGGAAAACACAGTGTTGTCTTTTACTCACTGACAATAATACTAAGTACACAGAATAGGTGGAATGTGAAATCTAAAGTATCACAAGCAGCTATTTTATTAAATTGTGTGTGTGTGCATGTGTGTGTAATAGTCACAATTTAACAATCACTTTTGCTCTTTTCTACACAACTGACTCATGAAGACAGAACTTCATCTATCACAATGGTTTGGTTAATTTTTTTTTTTTTTTTTTTGAGACAGGGTCTTGTTCTGTCACCCAGGTTAGAGTACAATGGCACGATCATGGTTCACTGAAGCCTTGACCTCCAGTGATCCTCCCATCTCAGTACTACCATATTACCATGCTCAACTACTACCCTCTGGAGTAGCTGGAACTTACAGGTGCAAGCCACCACATCCAGCTAATTTTTAAATTAAAAATTTTTTTTTGTGGAGACAGGGTCTCACTATATTGCTCAGGCTGGTCTCAAACTCCGGGGATCAAGCAATCCTCCCACCTGGGCCTCTCAAAAGGCATGAGCCACTGTGCCCGGCTTGGTTTGGTTAATTTTAAAAGACAGGTTCTATACCTTGACATATAATCAGTATTTTTTCTGGCAAAAAAAATTAATAAACATTCTAGTTCAATCATGGCAGCCCATTCCTCATTCTAATCACAACTAAAAACTGAATAAAATACATTTAAGAAAACAACCACCTCTCAAAAGCAAGCATAGAAGAGAGGCAAAAGTTGAAAAAGTGAACTGCACAGTGGTGAGTTTTCCATGTTGCTTCTTTCTTGTGCAATATGATCTCAAGGGTAGACCTCAGTTGCAAAATGGTGAGGAAATGGCAGCTGCAGAAGCAGATAAACTCTGAGATAAATCCTGTTTCTCTGGCAAAAGAAACCAAAAAGAAAGACTCCTGCAAGCCTGAGAGTTTAAGGAGAATCCCACAGATAAAACAGAAAGCGAAGGGAATCCTTTAATTTGTGAATGAACCTCACAAAACTATCAGCATAATTCCTGAAATAAGCACACATGAGACAGTCCCAAATAAAGATCACAAATGCTTTGGAAGCCAAACAGAGATTTGAGCTGTCTGCACAAGTCTTATTCTAACCCCTGAATTGCAAATGCATAGGAGGGACACAAACCCGATAAAGCCAAGAATTTAAAAACTCAACTGAGATTTGAACTACCTCTCATAGAAGATGACACACAACTTACAGTCTGAATTTAAGTGGCCTGATTGCTTGCTAAAATAAGTATATTAGGAATGTTCTAACAGACTGTATTCAACAGAGATTCACAATATCCATACCATCCAAAATTACTCAGTAGACCAAAAAAAGACCAATTCTCATGACAAAAAAACCAAAAACCTCTCAAGTTACCTGATGATCTAGCTAGTTTAAGAAAGTTTAAGCAGCTCTTACGACTATGCTTTATAAGTAAGAACACTCTTCAAATGAATGAAAACAAAAATTCTCAATAGAGAATAAACAATAAAAAAATTAAATTGCTGGGAAGTGAAATATACAGTACAGTCACGTGTCACTTGATGGGGATACATTCTGAAAAATGTGTCATTCGACAATTTCATCATTGTGGGAACATCATACTTACACAAACCCAGATGGCATAGTCTACAATACACCTAGGGTATATGGTAGATCCTATTGCTCCTATGTTACAAACCTGTACAGTATGTTACTATGCTGAATACTGTAGGCAATTATAACACAATGCTATGTATTTGTGTGTCTAAACATAGAAAAGGTAATGTATTGTGCTATGACATTACAATGGCTATGCCATCACTAGGTAATAGAAACTTTTCAGCTCCATTATAATCTTGAGACCAGTGTCATATATACATTCTGTTGTTGACCAAAACATTGTAATGCAGCACGTTACTGCATTTAAAATGAAAAACTCACTAGGTGATACGGTTTGGCTGTGTCGCCACCCAAATCTCATCTTGAATTGTAGCTCCCATGATTCCCACATGTTGTGGCAGGGACGCAGTGGGAGAAAATTGAATCGTGGGGGTGGTCTCCCCCATACTGTTCTCATGGTAGTGAATAAGTCTCACAAGATCTGATGGTGTTATAAGGAGAAACCCCTTTTGCTTGGCTCTCATTCTGTCTCTTCCTTGCTGTCATGTAAGACGTGCTTTTCGCCTTCTACCATGATCGTGTGGCCTCCTCAGTCGCATGAAACTCTGAGTCCATTAAACCTCTTTTTCTTTACAAATTACCCAGTCGCGAGTATGTCTTTATCAGCAGTATGAAAACGGACTAAAACGCTAGGTGAACTTGAAAGCAGTGTAAAAACAATGCAGAAAAGAATCAGCAAATGTGTGTTAAAAGAAACACTTTAGCCGAATTAAGTTTAACAGAGCTTAATTGAGCAAAGAACGATTTGCAAATTGGGCAGCCTCCTGAGCCAAAGAAGGCTCAGAGACTCCAGCATAGCCATGCACTGGAAGAAGATTTATGTATAGGAAGAAGGAAAGTGACCTACAGAAAACAGAAGTGAGGTTCAGAAGCAGCTGGATTGTTTATAGCTTGGCATTTGCCTTATGTGAACATGGTTTGGACAGTTGGCCACCTTGGACTGGCCAACATTCAGTGATTGGCACAAGAGTAGACTGCAGTCTGTATACAACTCCATTTAGTTCACGATTTACAGAGAAACCTTTAGGCTGAACTTAAAATTTGTAAGGAGGCTGCTTTAGGCTAAACTCAATTTAACACTTGGAAATAGCTCGATAGAAATAATCTAATATGAAGAACAGAGAATGAAAGTGGAGAATAAAGAATAAGTGAATAGAACCTCAGGGACCTGTAGGAAAATTTCCGAAGATCAAAAATAATGTGGTTGGAGTACCAGAAGGACAGGAGAGATTGAGAAGGAAAATTGTTTGAAGATACAATGCTGGAAAGCTTTCCACATTTAATCAAATCCATAAATGTACAGATTCAAGAAGCTCAGCAATACACAAGCCCAAAGAAAATCACACCTAAACACATCACAGTTAAACTGGTGAAAACCAAATATAAAGAAAAAATAATTGAAAACAGCTAGAAATATATGCCTCATTACACAGACAGGAATGGGTGGAAATACTGAAGATTTCTCATCAGAAATCATGGAGGCCTGATGGCAGACAACTTCTTTACAGGCTGAAAGAAAAGAATTGTCAACCCCAAACTCTATACCTAGTGAAAACGTTCTTCAGAAATGCAAGCAAAATAAACGCATTTTTAGATAAAGGAAAAGTAAGATAATTCATCACTAGGAGAGCTGAATATAAGATTGCTAATGCAAGTTCTCCACACTGAATGAAAATAATACTAGAGAGGACCGTGGATCTTTAGGAATGAAGAAATAGCAACAGAAATGGTAAATTTCTGGGTAAATACAAAAGATTATTTTTCCTTTTGAAGTTCTTTAAAATACATATAACTAGTTGAAACAAACAGTATTTTATTATCTGTTGGGATTTTTTTATGTATATATGTACAATACATACAAAAATTACAACATAAGGGTCAGTGGAGGATCATTTATATTATTGCAATTTGTCTACTGTTTTTAAATTATTCTTTTTTATTTTTGTAGGCAAGGTTTTGTGTGTTGCCCAAGCTGGTCTCAAACTTCTGGGCTCAAGTGATCCTCCTGTCTTGGCCTCCCAAAGTGCTGTGATTACAGGTGTGAGCCACTGCACCCAGCCCCAAAATTTTTCTACTTTTTATGTGAAATGGCATAATATTAACTCTAAATAAACTCTGAAAGGGCTGGTATGTATAATAAAATTTCTACAGAAAACACACACACAAAAAGAGATTTAGCCAAAATACATTAGATAAATAAAAATGGAATTTGAAAAGATATTCAAATAAACTAAAACATGGCAGGAATAAAAGACTAATGAAGATAAAAAAATAGAAATAGAAAGAAATAGAAAAAATAGAAATAGAAGAAAAAAATTTTATTTCTGTAAATAAAAAAAATTACAGAAAATATGTAATTTAATCTTGGACTTAAATTCAACCATGGTCTAAAGACTCAATGTAGAAGGAAGAAAATAGCAAAAAACAAAAATCAATGAAAGATAAAACAGATAGACAAAAATCTAATAGCTAGTTTCTTGATGGCATAGTCTACTATACACCTAGGGCATATGTTATAATTGCCTACAGTATTCAGCATAGTAACGTACTGTACAGGTTTGTAACATAGGAGCAATAGGATCTACCATATACCCTAGGTGTATACTAGACTATGCCATCTAGTTTCTTGAAAAAAGAATCAATAAAATTTAAAAAGTCCTAGCTGGAATGTATAAGAAAAAGAGAGAAAGGACACAAATCACTAATGTCAGGAATGACACAGAACCAATAGACTTTAAAGGGGGTAACAATACAATATTACAGCAAAATATGCAACAATTACATAAAATTGACAATTTTCTTAAAAAATACACTAACCAAAATTGACACAAGAAAAACAAAGTTACAATATATGTATTTAATAACAAATATATATTTAATTCAGCAACCCATAAGCCCAAATATATATAATACATACTATATACAACTATATATAATTAATTATATGCAGACAATTAATAATGTATAATTATATATAATTAAATTATCCAATATCTTTCCTAAAAGAAAACTCCAGGGTAAAATGCTTTCAGTAGTAAATTCTGGCAAAGTTTCAAGGAATAAATAACACTTATCTAACATAAATATTTTCAGAAGATAAAGAAGTTGGTATCACTGCCCAACTTGGTTTTGTAAGGCCAGCATAAGACTAACATAAAAATGAAACAAAAATATTATTTTTAAAAAATTCCAATGTACTTCATATAGATGTAAAGATACAAAATGTTATCAAATATAATTCCCTATATACAGTCATGTGCTGCATAATGATGTTTCAGTCAACAATAAACCACATATATGACAATAGTCCCATAAAACTATAACAGAGCTGAAAAATTCCTGTTGCCTAGTGACATGGTAGCCTGTCAGTGACGTGACATTGTAGCTGTCAGAATGTCCTAGCTCAACACATTACCTTTTTTATATGTTTAGACATGTTTAAATACACAAATACAATTGTGTTACAATTCCCTCACAGTATTCAGTACAGTACCATGCTGTACAGGTTTGTAGCCTGGGAGCAATAGGCCCTGCCATGTAGCCTGGTAAGCTCTACTATCCAGGTTTGTGAAAGTACACTCTATGATGTTTGCACGATGACAAAATTGACTCATGACACACTTCTCAGAACGTAACCCTGTCATTAAATGACACGGCTGTATATAAAAAAATACATCATAACAAAAGTAGGCTTTTCCTAGAAATGCAAAGTTGGTTAAACATGCAGAAATCAATGTCATTTAAAACAGTAACCTAGTAAAGGAGGAAACCATATAATCACGTGCAGGTTTGTTACACTGGTATATTGCGTGATGCTGAGGTTTGGGGTATGATTGATCCCAACAAAAGAAGAAACAAACAGATAATAACCAAAAAGGAAGAAACAGATCTGTCAATATTGTCATATCATATATTGTTTGTACAGAAAATAGCAAGGAACTCCCCAAAACTTACATAAAGCATGAAAGAATTAAGCCATGTGCAGGATAAATGTTAATATAAAAAGTATCCTGTAATTATGTATTCATAGCAAAAAAAATGAAAATGATTTTCTTTCAAATTCCTATTACAGTAGTTGGGCAGAGAGAAGAGAAGAATACCTAGTAATAAATCTAAGTAAATATACCCAATACCTCTCGCCTAAAAACTACAAAAAATTGCTATAATAAATTAGAGAATATATAAATAAATGGCATGTTCATGAAGGGCAATTCTCCAAAAACTGACCTATAGATTCAATGTAATTCCAAACAAAATATACCAAGATTTTCTTCTTTTTTTCTTTTAGAAATTGACAACTTGTTTCTAAAACTGATATGGAAATGCAAAGGATCTAGACAGTGAAAAGGTAGAGAATTCACTTAACCTTCAAGATATACAATAAAGCTATAGTAATCAAGAATGTGGATTATTGGCAAAAAAAAAAATAGAGACATAGATCTATGGAACAAAATAGAATGTTTAGAAAGAGACCCATGCATATATGATAACTTGAATTTTGACAGCGGTGTCAAGAAAATTCAACAGAGAAAAGAAAGTCATTTCAACAAATGATGCTGGGTCAACTGGAAATCAAAACTGAAAAAAACAAGTACAACGATCCTTACCTCGCACTCGAAACAAAATTTGAGTAAAAATAATCATAGACCTAAATGTACAGCCTAAAACTATAAAACTTCTAAAAGAAAACATTAGAGAAAACAGCTGTAACCTTATGATAGGCAAAGTTTTATTAAATAAAACACACAAAAAATACAAAACTTACAAGCTAAAACTGATAAATCAGACTTCATCAAAATCTAAAACTTTTGTTCTTAAAAAATCACGAAAAAATGAAAAGGCAAGCTATATTGTGGAAGAAAATTTTCTCCAAACAAATATCAGATGAAGGACTTGTATTCAAAATTATTATAAAGAACTTTTGCAGTTAAATAATAAGACACAACTGAAGTGTTTAGAAAAATGGACAAAATATTTGAACGGACACTTCGCAAAAGATAAGCAAATGGACAAAAGTGCATAAAACATACAGGCATCATTCGTGCCTATAGGAAAGCAAATAAAATATTAAGTGATACTGCATATCCATTAGATTGGTTATGCAGATTGGTTAAAAAGACTGACCATACCAAACACCGACAATGACTTTGGGCAACCAGAACTCTTATTCACTGCTGGTGGGAATGTAACATGGTATAATCATTTTGGAAAACACGTTGGCAGCATCATAAATAATTAAGCATACCATATAATCCAATTATTCCAGGCCTAGATATTTACCCAAAAGAAAGGAAAAGATATTTCCACACAAGGATTTGTATACAAATGATCATGGCAGCTTTATTTGTAATAGCCATTAAGTGGAAACAATGCAAGTGTCCAACAAATGGGTGAATGGATAAGCAAAGGATGGCATCGTTATCCACATAATGCCTACTGAGCGAAGGGAAAGAAAAAAGAACAAAATTTTCATACACACAATGACACAGATGAATTGCAAAAATATACTCAGTGAAGAAGCCAGGCCAAAAAACTGTGTATGCTTATGATTCTATTTATATAAAACTCTAGAGATGCAAACTAATTTATAGTGAGAAAAGACAAGTCAGTGGTTTCCTGGGGACGGGGTTGGAAGGAGAGAAGATGGCAAAGGGGCTCTGAGGAATGTTTTGAGGATAACAGAAATGTTCTTTATCTTGATTGTGGTGATGGTTTCACCAGTGTGTAAACATGTCAAAACTGATAAAATTGTATTTAAATATGTACAGAATATTGTACTTCAATTATACCTCAATAAAGTTGTTTAAAAATATATATGTAATATAAAGTTGACAAAACACAAACACAACCCAAAATTTAAAAAGCTGCCAATGCACATTTGGTTTAAAGAAATCTCATTTAGCCTGTTTTGCCTCAAAATGGCTTTTGGCTTTTTAAAGATAAAAAGAAAATACTATATTTGACAAGATGTCATTATATTTAGTTACAGTGTTGCAAAAGTTTTATTATTTCAAAATGCAATGCTGTGTAATGTGTTTTATATACTTTTCCTCAACCGGGTCCCAGTGAAATATCTACAATTGAAATACTGACTCTTGTAATTTATTATATATATTGAATATTACACTAAAGAATAATCTGTAAAAAGGTCAAGCATATTGTCAAGTGGTCAGAGTATTTAAAAAAGTGATGAATTTTACAAAAAGGACCATGTCCCTACACATAGATTGTTATATATACGTGATTATACAGTTACAGATTCAATATAAAATCTTAATATGCATAATTCAAAAGACATACTTTCTAAGTAAAAATGTGCATACAATATTTACACAATCTAATAAAGAAATATCAACACTTTGCATTCCTATAGTACCTATATCCTTGAAGTATTTCCATAGCTATTGACTAGAGATCATTTTGATGAAGCAGTTAAACTAACCTCTAAATCAGGTAAACACTTTTTGCTTCTATCGGGCTCAGTTGCCTTGAGCGAGGTTCATTTTCTCACTGATAAAATGAGGAGGTTGGGCTTGATTATCTTTTAGCTCTCTTTCAACTTCGAAATTTGCTTTATTTTTATCCTCACACTAATAAGGAAAGCAGGATTGAAGAATGATGCTGACAGAGGTTAAAGGAGTCGTACAAAGTCACAGGACCTGCAATGAGAGGCCCGGTCTCACACAGCCAGCCCCAAACTCTTTCCACTGCCACACACTGCTCTAAGCCTGCCCTGTAGTGATCTTAGGAACAGAATACGCACTTATCATCTGCACGACTTTGATGAATTTCTGCTTTGAAAGGCGAAGAAAAAAATAGACATAGGCATGAGCATATCATTCTAAGACACTTGGCCTTTTATTTTTGCATCTAGAATTCTCAGCACCTGAGCTTAGGAAGAAAAATAATTCTTTCAGAAATTGACTTATAATTTATTTCATCTCAGTATTTATCTCCTTTTATGGGTATTTAGTAAATGTGTGCTCAACAACCTGACTACTAGCATTTCTTCCCTCGAGAATAATTTTTGTTTAAGGAAAGGTCAGTTGATTAAGAAACTGGAGAGTCGTCACTGGGGTTCAAAGCAAAGCTGAGGTTTCATGTTCACTTCCTATTTTAACCAAAGGTCGCTGGGTGTTTAGATTTAGAAATTTGTGCATCAACACAGCAAGGATATGGATTGTAGGATTAGAGCCTACAATGAAGTTTAATACTAGCTCTGTTATTTGACAACTTTGGATTTTGAGGGATTGAATTTCAATGCCTTCTTCACCTGTAAGCAAGATCATTTCTACCCTTAAAGGTTAGAACATAAAAATAATTGCTTATCACAATATTTTATTATAAAAATTTTCACACACACAGAAAAGTTGAAATAATTATGCAATGTAAGCCCATTTTTCCCTCCACCTAAATTCTGTCATTGATGTTTGGTTATATATACCTATGCATCTTCCCATCCCTCTCTTAATCAATCTATTTTACTTTCTGATCCATTTCGAAGTCAGTTGCAACCATCAGTACACTTTACCCCTAAATGCTGCAATGCTTTACAGTATTTTATATGCAAAATTTACATACTGTGAAATACAGAAAATGTATACCACTCAATAAGCTCTAGCAAATACATACACCTGTATAACAAGTACCTCCATCAAGATACTGAACATTACTATCAACTCCAAAATTTCATGCCCCTTCCTGGTAAATCCCTGCTGCAATCCCTTCTGTTCTGATATATTTTCATCATAAATTGGTTTTACCTGTTCAAGAACTTCATAGAAATGGAAACATACAGTAGGTATTTGTTTGTATAAGGGTTTTTATGCAGCATAAAAGTTTGGGGGATTCATCTATGTTGTTGCATGAATGTGTAGTTTGTTCTTTGGCATAGCTGGCAAGTATTCCACTTAGGAATCCCATAGTTCATCCACTCTCACTTTTGGCTAGTTTAAATAAAGCTGTTGTAAATACTCCTATAAGACTTTTGTAGATGTATTTTTTTATTTCTCTTTGGAAAATATCTAGAAGTAAAATTGTAGGTTCCAGAGTAGGTTTATATTTAGCTTTATAAGAAATTTCCAGGCTTTTATCCATAGTGGCTGCACAATTGTACACACTCACTAAAAATTTAAAAGTTCCAGTTGCTCCACATCCTGACCAATATTTGCTGCTGGTCTTTTTAAATTTAGCCATTCTAGTGGATGTCTCTCATCTTGGTTTAATTTGCATTCCCTTGATAATTAATAATATTGAGCATTTTTTGTTTATCTTCCTTTGCAAAGTACTTGACAGTCTTTGGCCTCTTTTTTATTGAATTGTCTTTTTGTTATTGAGATTTAGAGTGCTATATATTCTGGATACTAACCCTTTGTCATATATGTATATTCTGTAAATTTCTTAACAATGCCTTCTGATTAGCTCAAGTTCAACTTTAAGTCTAGTTTATTAGGTTTTGGTTTTTTTTTTTTTTTTTTTTGACAGCTATCATTCTATCACCCAGGCTAGAGTGCAGTGATATGATCACGGCTCGCTGCAGCCTCAATCTCATGGGCTCAAGTGATCCTCCCACCTCAGCCTCCTGAGTAGCTGGGACTACAGGTATACACCACCACGCCCAGCTAATTTTTTGTATTTTTGGTAGAGATGTGGGTTTCAGTCATGTTGCTCAGGCTGGTCTTGAACTCCAGGGCTAAAGAGATCCACCTGCCTAGGCCTCCCAAAGTGCTGCGATTACAGGCATGAGCCATTGTGCCTGACCTAGTTTATCAATTTTTATCACTTTCTGTGACCTAAGACACTTTCACCTACCCACTACATTGCAAAGATATTCTCCTATGTTTTCTTTCAGATGCATTATAATTTTGGCTTTTATTTTTAGGTTTGTGAACCATCTCAAAATAGTTTTTGTGAATGGTGTGAGGTAGGGGTTGATGCTTCAGTTATTCCAGCACCATTTTCTACAAATATTTTCCTCTCTCTATTGGGCTGCTTTGGCACATATATTGGAAATCAGTCCATTGTGTAAGTGTGGGTCTATTGCCAGGCTCTCAATCCTGTTCCATTGATCTGCTTGTCTCCTTATGAAGGGGTCACAAAGTTTTGATTGCTGTAGTTTTGTAGTAAGTTATGAAGCCAGATAGTATAATTCCTTCAACACTGTTCTTCTTTTTCAAGGTTGCTGAAGATATCCTAGCTCTAGCTCATTTAAAATAAATTTTTAGAATTAGGATGTCTTCTTGCAGAATAAATAAAACAGCCTGGTGGGCTTTATAAGGGATTACACTGACTTTATAGATCAATCTGGAAACAACAGACATCTCAACATTATTGAGAAATTTCTAATCAATAAGCATGGCATCTCTTTCTAGATATTTAGCTTGTCTTTCATTAGTTTCAGCAATGTGTTATAGTGCTTGGCGTAGAGGTTTTGCATGCATTTTGAGAGCTTGTTTGGAGGTTCTAGCAGGGGAGCACAGCTACTCATATACTCTTCACTGAAGATAGTTCCTCCTCTATATCAGGGGTGGTTGTCCTCTTCGACCAAGCATGCAGCTTCAGGAAGGATACACACGAAGCAGTAAGGGAGGTAGGGGACACCCGCCTGGCCATCCAGATCAGCCAAATCAACCTTGGTGATCAATGGGGTGACAGATGTCACAGCCAGGTCACCCTCACATCTTTGCATGCATTTTGTTAAAGGTATTCCTAAGTATTTTGTGTTTCATCGTGACATTGTAAGTGGAAGTTTAAAAATTATTTTTCCACTTCTTTGTACTAGCATCTAAAAATACATTTGAATTTGCATATCAACAATATATCCTGCATTCTTGCCAAATTCATTTAGTATTCCTCATAGGTGTTTTGTAGAGTCATTAGGACATACTGTGCAATCAACCATATCATCGGCAAGCAGACAGTTTTATTGCTTCTTTTTCGATCTATATTTCTTTTATTTCATTTTCTTCTCCTATTGCGCTAGCTATGACCTCCAACACAATGATAATTAAAAGAGCTGAGAGTGGGCATCCTTGTCTAGTTATAAATCTTAGGGAGAAAACATCCAGTATTTCCCTATTAAGTGTAATGTTAGTTGTAGATTTTCCATATATTCACTTAACAGATTGAAATTCCTTACCATTGCACCTTTGCTTCAAGTTTTTATTATAAATAGATGTTCCCTTTTGTCAAATAATTTTTCTATATTATTTAAACTATCCTATATTTTGTCTCCTCTATTGTGTGGTTCTGGTGAATTACACAGGTTAATCTTTAAGCATTTAAAGATTTGCATTCCATTTGCATTCCAGGGATAAATCCCAATTTTATGCATTGCTACATTCCATTTCATATTTTCTTAAGATATCTATTTTTAAAACTTATTTTTTTAATCAAGTTTATGATGGCTACATAAAATGACATGTTCTTACCTCCTCTATTTTCTGAAAGACTTTGCATATTAGTGTTGTTTCTTCCTTAAATGTTTGCTAGAATTTACTAGTGAAACCAATTAGGCCACAAGTACCTTTTAACAATCTTGCAAACCAAGAACTGTGTAAGATATTTTATTATCGTTATTATTTACAACAACACTTCAAATTACATAAAACCTATAAAACCTACTTTAAACAGTCAAAATTTAGGGTTGAGAGAAATTAAATAACTTACCCAAGGACATGCAGCTATATGTCATGTATAAACATCAGGTATGTTTAGCTCTAAAGTTTTTACTCTACCACAGAATGCCATGGTAGATTTGAAGTTGTACAGATAAATATCACTTCAAAACTCCCTTAATACATGGCACTCATAAAGTGAGCAAGCATCTCTACTGTTCACTAGTTGCTTTTTCAAGATAAGAAAGTTATTTTTTTAATGTATTAGAACCAAAATCCAACTTTAGACATGCCACCAATCTCATTCTTAAAAAGAAGAAGGCACATTAGATAGTGAAGTTAGTTACATTTAATATCAACCATAGATCAGGACTCCTTCACTCCAGCCCATTTTTGTTTCAACATTTATGTAACTGTGTTTACTAAGAACCTACAAGTATGTTAAATAAGTTACAGGCTATGCTTATTTCTTCACTAGTAGTTCTTCATCATATACAAGGCATGAGAAGTTTCTTCAAATAAATTAGATAGTGGAGTGCCAATTAACAAATAAAAGAACCCTATAAAGCAAGTCACATTGGTGCAGCATAATTACCCAAAAAAGATGTAACATTTTTATTTTATCTGATGCTGAAAACAAGTAAACAACATAGATCTTTATGGTTCCCTGGTAAGCCAAAAGAGGCAAATCATATGTATTTCTCGAGATGAAATATTTCATTGTGTAATGGGTTTAGATCATGAGTCAAAAATAAAATAAACACCAATCATATCAGGCATATGGACAATCTGTGCATTGACTGTTATGTATGAATACAGTGTGAGAAAGAGGATAAAGGCACATAATCCCAACATATGTTTTCTAATGCTATTTCCTTCATTTGAACTTACCAATAGAGCAAAAAGGAGTGAGGTAGCTAGGTAGTCACTCAGTTTTTCTCTTAGCAAATAAACTCTATCCATCCATTTTTCTCAATCGTCTTAACAGTGTGAATAAAGATTGTTTCCAGGTTCTTAGAATACAGAGCTAGGGAAAAAATTAAGTTGACAGGGTTCAGTTTTGACAGTGTATCCAGCTGTTTATAGCTTTTCATTTTTTCCATAAACCTAATTGGTATCAGTATATGTAAAGTTTCTAACACTTCCAGCTAGGGAACACTTCACAGAAGAAAAATGCTTTCCTTGGAGTTTACAAATGCCATTTGGTCTAATTTTTCAGCAAGGGTTTGTCTAGTTAGATTATGAGATTTTTCCTGGAGAGCAACAGCAAGAGAATGTCCCTCATGCTGTCAGAGAAAGAGAGTTATATTTTTGTTCCTTGGAAGAAACATATAATGTAATGGGCAAAAAGTCAAGTGGGTGGGGAGCCATTAGCCCATATAAACCTCCAGAGAAATCTCTAAGAAAAAGGCATTGTAAATAACACACTCCACTAGCATATTTGCTTTTAAAAAAACATGTCCGAGAAAGCAGATGCAGGTTGGGTCTTATGGGACAGGACTCATGCTGTCCTACCCAGACAGCAAGAGTTACTTAGGGAAAACTAAGTGTGAAACACTGGTAAGACTAACTGTAAAAATTGAGCCCGGAAGGTCAAAGGTAGGATTAATGGTGGGACTACAAAGATGTAAGTTAGGAGCTGGTTCAGAGAAAGAGAACAGGAACAAAGAAAGAGCATCTCATAAGATTTCTGCAAGTCTTTCTACACCTGAATTTCTCATCTACCAGATGGGCATGTCTATGGTAGCGTCAGAATGGCTTAAAAAGCTAAAAAGCAAGACATAGGCCAAAATTTAATTCTGAACTATCAACTCTGAGTTGGAAACCCAATATCCTGCCATATTATTGTATCAGTACACACTTACTGAACAGTTCAACAGAAGACCTTTGTGTTTTTTTCTTTCTATAAATGATCTCCGTTTTAGGTGAATCTGATTTTTTAAAATCTACATTTTTAAAACTGCTGAATTTTAAGCTAATAATGTCCCACTGATGCCACAAGGACTCACTAGGGGATCGCATTATGTTTTAAACCCATTAGGTGCTTAATACGACTTGATCTGTAAAATGCTTTTCAGGTTATCCATTCATCATGCACATGGATATTTACTTAGTGTGGTGATTAAAGGGAGGAACTCCAGAGTCAGGCTGTTTGGGCTCAAATCCCAGCTTTACCAGTTACTGGCTGTATAACCTTGGGCAAGTTATGAAACCTTTTTGGAATCAGTTTCTTTCACTGCACAATGAGGAAAAGAGCAATACCTATCTCATATGATTGTAAGAATTAAATAAGTTCTACATAAAGCATTTTTAAAAGTGCCCTAGCCAGAGGAGGTCACGTCTAGCCAGAGGAATTACTTCTTGTTGCTGTTATACTATGTGACTATAAATAATACTGACTTTTTTTCCCTTTTCACTGGATTCAAAATGTTCTCTTTCAAGAAATTCCATAAAATCAGGTTTTCCCTTCTATTTTAACATCTGCCAAACTCTCTTCTTAAAGAAATTGAAATTACTTGGCTTATGGTCAAATTTAATGAAGACTGAATCTATAAATCTACAAAGACTTAGAAAGGGATTTATAAAATAGTAACTTATAACTCAATTACTATTTTAATGGCCTGGTTGTGCCTGAAAGTAATTAACTGAGCAAGATTTGAGTATGTGTGTACCTCAAAGATACCCATGACTGATCCTGTGGTGGAATCAGATGTAGTTAGAGAAACTGTGGTAACTCAAATTTTCCCAGCTCTGATCATCGCCTCCTTCATTAGATCCTATGGCCAGTTTTCTGTGTCAGGGTCCCCGTGAACACCACTGGACACTCCCACAATGGCATGGGACCCCCTCCGGGTGATAAAGCCAAAACGGCAGTGTCTGGCAAAGTGAGGAAAGGTGCTGCTGCTTTTACTGCTGTTACAGGCCGTTGGAGTAGCCCTGCTGTAGTGCTACAAGTTTCTCAAAAATTTTAGTCAAATGGCTCTGTAGCATTTTATTTATTTTATTTATGCCCTGCTGTTTGCCAACTCTCAAACTCTATGTTGTCTTATATTTTAATTTCTTTTTCCTTTTTTTTTTTTTTTTTTTTTTTTTTTGGAGACAGGTTCTCACTCTGTCACCCAGGCTGGAGTACAGCGGTATGATCATGGCTCACTGCAGCCTCGACCTCCAAGGCTCAAGCTATCCTCCCACCTCAGCCTCCCATGTAGCTAGGATTACAGGCACATGCCACCACGCCTGGCTAATTTTTTTAAAAAGTTTTTTTGTAGAGACTGGGCATGGTGGCTCATGCCAGTAGTCCCAGCATTTTGGGAGGCTGAGGTGGGAGGATCACTTGAGCCCAGGAGTTCCAGACCAGCCTGGGTAACATTATGAGACCCTGTCTCCACAGAAAAAATTAATTTTTAAAAAAATTATTTGGGCATGGTGGCATGTGCCTGTAGTCTGGGCTACTTGTGAGCCTTGACGGGAGGATTGCCTGAGCCCAGGAAGTCTAGGTGGCAGTGAGACATGATCGTGCCACTGCACTCCAACCTGGGTGACAGAGCAAGAACCTTTCTCAAAGAATAGAAAAAAGAATTTAATTTCTTAGAATTTCAATTCTATTAAAAATCATTTAACATATAGGTGTTTTGCAGTTTATATAAACAGTTTCTTATGCAAATTCCAGATAATTCTGTATTGGGGGGATCAGTTATAGATTAGTAAATGTACACATATGTATTTAAATTGTGCAAAATGAATATTACTAAGCTTTATTTGCAGGTTGGGCCTTCAGTGGCCACCACCTCTGAGTCCTGTTTCACATTGAAAACAACCGATAGAGCACACAGAAGATTCTCCCTGAAGGGGGAGAAGGTGCAATCCGTGCAGTTCTAAAGTCTTGCCAAATGACTCTAGAGCCAGTTATTGAGCTGGGGGTGAGGGTGAGAGAATCACTAGTGAGCTGATTTTGCAATTTTTATATTTGTAACCAGTTACCTAGTAAGCACATGAGAAATTTAGGCCAGGCACGGTAGCTCACGCCTATAATCCCAGCACTTTGGGAGGCCGAGGCAGGTGGATCACCTGAGGTCACAAGTTTGAGATCAGCTTGGCCAACATGGTGAAACCCCGTCTCTACTAAAAATACAAAAAAATTAGCCGGGCATGGTGGGCACCTGTAATCCCAGCTCCTTGGGAAGCTGAGGCAGGAAAATTGCTTGAACCCAGGAGGTGGAGGTTGCAGTGAGCCAAGATCATACCATTGCACTCCAGCCTGGGTGGCAGAGTGAAACTCCATCTCAAAAAAAAAAAAAAAAAAAAAAAGAAACTTAAACAAAGACAAGAAAAGAAAACTCTATTGAATATTAGAAGTCCTCCTTATATCATACTTTGCTGTTCATCATTGTTGAGTAACTGGAAGACAGCAATAATAATAATCTCAGTGCTTGTAAAGTGGTCCATACCTGTAATCTCTTTCAAAGAAAAAGTAAATTAGTTTCACAAATTAGCTTAAAGATTATTGCTGGGTTATTAGTGTTGCTACTGTTTTTACAAAAGGCCATTCATCAGGGAAGGCCAAATTCTGAGCCTTCTCCAATCCTGTAGATCTCTGCCAAGAGCCACATGTGGCCACGGAGTGAGGGTTTGACATGTGACTAGTCTACATTGCAAAATACACACCAGAATTCAGACTTCGTACAAGATATGGAATGTAAAATATCTCGGTAATTTTATATTGATGACGTACTGAAATATTTTGGTTTAAACGAAACATTATTAAAATTAATTTCCCTTGTTTCTTTTTGCATTTTTTATGTGGCTCCTAGAAGTTTTAAACTTCTTGATATGGTTTGCACTTGAGACCCATGTTACATTTCTCTTGGACTGCACTGGGCTAGCCCAGTCAGAGAAAAAAGTAGAGAAGAGTAAGCAGAACTCACAACAATCATTACAGGGAACACAGTCCTTGTCCTGGATATTCCATTCCTCAAAGTGATATGGGAACTTTGATATGAAGAAACTATGAATGGCTAACTTTCTTTCTAATAGACAAGTCTTTTAAAAGCATCAACTTATTAAATTACATCTACGGCTTTGAGGTGGTAACAGATGAATTGTGTAAATAGGGCATTACACATAAAAATTATCAATAGATGGTAGACTGTTTGGGGTGTGTTTTGGCTGACAAGTGATACAGACAAAATAATTACGCACTCATAGCCACAATTCAAAACCACTTGGCAAATGGTCTAGTTTAGTGGTTGGCAAACTGTGGCATGGGAACCAAATCCAGCCTGACACCTGTTTTATAAAAAATAAAGTTTTATTGGAACACAGCCGTAGCCTTTCACTTCCATATTGTCTATGGCTGCTTCTGTACTAAAATAGCAGAGTTGAGTAGTTGTGAAAGAGATCATATAGCCTGTAAAGCCTAAAATATTTACTATCTGGACCTTTACATAAAAAGGTTTCTGATGCCTGGTCCATGGTTAACACTAAAGTAAGAGTGGTTCTTTTAAGTCGGATCACGTCTTTGCTCTGCTCAAACTTCGTGACTGTCTTCCCAGCTTAGAGTGAACAAGGAAAAACAGTCAGACCTCATAGCAATCAGCTTCTGGCGCTTCCTGCCCTGCCCCAGGGGGTCTCCTTGCTGGTCCTAGAATATGCCAAACAAGCACGTACTTCAAAGTCTTTCTCCTTATGGCTCCCAGGTCCCCTCCTTCACCTCCTTCAGGTCCTTGTGCAAGTATCAGTGATTGCTGTATACAAAATAGCTGCCTCCTCCCCTTTGCTGCTTTGTATTTCTCTGTAGCACTGATCAGTAACTGGCCTACCATAAAATTCACTTCTCTGTTTACTCTTTTTCCTCCAACTAAACTCCACCAGAACAGGCATTTTTGTCTGTTTTGCTTGCTGCTGTATCCTTAGCACCTAGAAGGATATCTGGCCCCCAAAATACATGAAAGAGTGAGTAGGCAGTTCACTGTTTCTCTAACCGCATATGAGCTAGAAAAAATGCAGGCAAGATATGGTTCCTACCCTAAGTGATAAGAAATATAATCAAATAATTTTAAAAAAATGTCTGGACATAGAAGATCAGACACATGGAGATAAATGCATGCCCTCTCTCCCTTCCTTCCTGCCCATCCCTATGCATCCATTCATCAATCCAATCATCCACCTGCCCAGCAAGAGAAACATTTATTGTATTAGGAGAAGCATGATGGTCTGAGGAAAGCAGTCAGCTCCAGCCATAATTAATGTTGAAAGGCTTTTTGGAAAAGTGTTGTGCACAATGGGGGCAAAACCACTGTCCAAGCAGGGATACTGAAGAAAGACATTTCCGCAGTTATGATGGCTTAGACCATTGGTCTTCAAACTTTATTCAAAAGCTATTTTTTCTATAAGAAATCTTATCGAACTCCAATATATAAATAGAAGTCTTTGATAAAGTCTTCTTTTCCTGAGGAACCCAGAGAGATGTTAACTTCCCCTTCTCTGACCCCTGTTCTCCATGGCATCAGAGGCAACTGTGTCCTTAACACTCCTTAGAACACAGTTTGAAAATGAACAATTTCTAGAAATGAGACTTCAGAGTTTTCATCGTTTTCATAATTCCAAAAACTTATTAAAAGCTAGAAAAACTTAGAAAACCAAAAAATAGGAATCTGGCTTGGTAAAATTAAGACTATGCCCCATCATAGATGTCACAGGAGATGTAATAGACATATAACGAGACATGCGTTCTCGGGTCCACTCCTAGCTCTGCCTTAATCATTTGTCGTATTATTATTATTATTATTATTATTATTATTATTAAATGGCAGCCAAGGTAAATGAAAATGTAGACATCAGCAGCAGTAACCTGATAAAGATCAAGACTCTAACGCTGCTGACAGAGCAGACACACAGCTGGGCATGAAAACGAGCTCTTATTGCAGCTCTGACTGTACGGACTGCTCTCAGAACAACCCTTTTACAATTTTCTTTCCCCTTCTTCATATCCTATTGCTAATATCTGGACATATGCTTCTGGGAAAACAGAAAGGTCTGCTTTTCTGTTAAATATTTTAGTTGCTTATCAGCCTAGGCAACTGTTTGAACTCACCTGAAAAGTTAAGTGATAAATCACTGTCATTTATTACCACCAATCAGAAAAAAAAAATCATGCAATTTATCAACATCATACTATAAATACTGAGATAGGAACTTTCATGTAGTACAGGAACATGTTTACACAAAGTGTTGGAGTCTTACGTTGTATTGATTGCTTTAAACAAAGAAATATTTCATGTGTGTATGTTTGTGTGAATATATACACATATATATATTCTACATTTATACTGTACCTGAACAAATACTTCTATTTTTCTTTTTCTAAAAAGTAAAACTAAAATTAAATTTGTCTCCGTGCCTCTTACTGTCTGCAACAAACGACTCTTAACCACCAGAGGCAATACCATAATATTCAAGAAAATACCTTCACCTTGGGCTTTGACATCAGCAAAGTGTTTAAAGATTAATTACCTGAAAGCTTAGGGTAATTTTACTGGATCAAATAGATAAAGTTATTTTTCTCTCTTAAGTATACATTTTAAGGTTAGGCGCAGTGGCTCACACCTGTAATCCTAGCACTTTTGGGAGACTGAGGCAGGTGGATCACATCAGCCCAGGAGCCTGGGCAACATGGCAAAACCCCACCTCTACAAAAAAAAACCCCAAAATTATCTGGGAGTAGTGGTGCATGCCTGTAGTCCCATCTACTTGCTTCCCTGAGGTAGGAGGATAGCTTGGGCCCGGGAGACGGAGGTTGCAGTGAGCTGAGATCATGCCGCTGCACTTGGGCCTAGGCAATACAGCGAGACTCTGCCTCAAAAAAAAACCCAAAAGTGTACATTTTAAATATGATAAAAATATAAATATTATAGCATAACAGGCCAACTATAAATACTCAGCCACAATGGAGTCTTTGTCCTGCTACTACTCTATCTACAGCCTCATTTCTTTTTTTTTTTTTTTTTTTTTTTTGAGATGGAGTCTCGCTTTTTTGCCCAGGCTGGAGTGCAGTGGCGCGATCTCGGCTCACTCTGCAGCCTCATTTCTAACCCTGGAAACACTATTCAGATAGCTTTATTCTAAATATCAAGTAATACACATTTACATTTTCAGGACTAGTTCACACAAGAAATAAAACTTTTCATTGATGAGAAACTGACCGATATAATTCTCAGTGGTACAATATTTCTTCATGAATTTTCTTGAGCCAAAATATACTGACAGCCACATTTCAAAATTGAAGAAGAATTTTAGGATGAAAACAGATATAGTAAGTAGGGCCAATTATTGTTCCCTTTGAATGAAGTTGTTAAACTTTGTATATTTTTGTAGAGAGCTTTCAAAACAGAAGTAGTGCTGTGACCAGTCAACTCAATTAAGGCCTGCTCTGACGCCAGGTTAAGAATCCAAAGAATACATGGTTCTCCCGTTCCACATCCAGATAGCCTTTAAACAAGTCATAGAAATTAGCACTCAGGAAAAAAAGTTTAATAGTATAAACAACTGCACTCTGCTTTCCAATTCAAGTCCTAACCCAACAAAAGCCACATTTAGATTTCTTACCATCTAAGAACAGGTGGCCTTAATTAATTTATTAATTAAATAATAAAACCAATACCACCTTGCCTCTAGACAATATATAATGATGTATATATAATATACATCGAACTACACTCCAGGAAACAATCCCATGTGGTCATAGAACTGAGCAGAAAATGTATAGAAAATATTCAGACACAAGTTGGACTTGTTATATTTATATACCTGTAGTATTGGACAATCAGACTGAAGAAGTTGGAGAAGGAGAAGAGGGAAAGGAAGAAGAGCAGAAGGAGAAAACAAACAATATCTTTTGCACATAAGTATATTATGATTTTTATATCAATAGCAATGAATGATAAAAAGCAACATAATCATAATTAAATAATCCAAACTAAAATGATGAAATTCTACTTTTTACAAATAAGCTACTCAGTGGTTTTATTTTTTCTTATTGTGAGTTAAATTTTGGTAAATTTGGTCTTGTGCTTGATGGTGAATGGCACTCTAAAAGGAATATAGACATATATCTCCACAGCAAATAGTCTTCATCCAACAATTTGACTCTCTATATCTCTTCATAAATAAAAAATCCAAAATATGGAAAAAAGATATTGTAAAAAAAGTCTGTCTCAACTAACAACAACAACAACATATATTCTTTGGCGTAAGACTCCATATTGCATAATTTGACATGTTTTATTCTTATTTTCTGATGTTGTCTTTTTTTTACAACTAGACCGTAAACTCCTTGAGGGCCACAACTGCATGTTTTTCATCTCTCTGTGTCTTGCTGCTGGTCGGTACTCATTATTTGTAATGTATAAGTCAAATCAGATAGCCAATCAGCAACTGAGATAGTTTTCCTAAGTGGTCAAATTATGACACTGCAGGGTAATTCTAGCTGTCTCTTCAAATACCCATAGGAATTTTGAATTTACAATGTAGATCTTTATAACAGATCAATTCCTGGCAATGTGCTAGTGTTTTATACCAGTGTTTTAATGTACTTCAGCACACATGTCAAAAAAATAAGGGAATCAAGAATGAGCTCTTAGAAATAAAAATTATTTTCAGTTCTGGGATACATGAGCAGGATGTGCAGGTTTCTTACACTGGTAAATGTGTGCCATGGTGGTTTACTGCACCTATCAACCCATCACCTAGGTATTAAGCCCAGCATGCACTAGCTATTTTTCCTGATGTTCTAACTCCCCCCATCCCCACCCTGACAGACCCCAGCGTGTGTTGTTCGCCTCCCTGTGTCCATGTGTTTTCATTGTTCAGCTCTCACTTACAATTGAGAACATACGGTGTTTCATTTTCTGTTCTTGCATTAGTTTGCTGAGGATAATGGCTTCCAGCTCTATCCATGTCCCTGCAAAGGACATGATCTCATTCCTTTTTACGGCTGCATAGTATTCCACGGTGTATGTGTCCACATTTTCTTTATCCAGTCTATCATTGATGGGCATTTGGGTTGATTCCATGTCTTTGCTATTGTGAACAGTGGTGCAATGAACATACACATGTATGTATTTTCATAATAGAATGATTTCTATTCCTTTGTATATATACCCACTAGTGAGTTTCCCAGCTCAAATGGTAAGAAATCAAAATTTCGATTGCTGAAAAATATTAGTGAAAGGATTAGAAGATAGAGTCAAAATCTTCCAGATCATAAGGACAAAGACAGGAAGATGAAAAATATGAAGGACAGAGAAGAGACGCAGAGGCTCAAATCAGAGGACGCAACATCTGACTGATAGGAGTCCCATTAAGAAAGACCAGAGAAAACCTTGGGAAAACATATCAAAACAATGCGAGAAAATGTCTCAGGGCCAAAGGGAGGCGTAGTTTCCAGATTTCTCTAAGTACCAATCAGGATTAATAAGACCCAAACATCATTATGAAATCTGAGAACACCGAGATTAAAAGCAATCCTAAAAGTTTAATGACAGAAAACAACATTGACTCTAGACAGAGAATTCCTTTTTTTAAGGCTTGTATTTCTTCTCCCAGCAAGAAAAAACAAAGATCAAAAACTTGAGAGTTAACAAATTGTGCAAGAAGGTCAAGTTTGAAGCAAACTAACTGTTGTATGGTTTCAATCAGCGATAAAATTAAATAAAGAATCTTCATTTGGCCTCTTGCATTTGACCCCTTTCATAGAGAGATACAGGGGTCAAGAAATTGGAAAAGTATGTAATCAGAGCATCCCAACTGGCCCTTTGTTGAAAAGTATTTGCATATATAGCATAAACACTGCTTACTGGCTTTCAATTTTTAGTATCAAGCTGAACAGGAACCATGAGAGATTTCATAATGGTTACAGAACAGCATTGCTAACAACCTTAGAAATAGGAAGTAAATATACAGTTTATATATGTTGGAAAGTAGAATGGTGCAGAGAGCTAAAGAAAAGAATACAGTGCCTGTATCTTCAGCTCATGAAGTAGATTTTTAAATATACCACGTAAAATTACCCAAGAAAACCAGAAGGAGAGCTTTTTAAAAAGTAGTATCATTAAAAATTTCTGTTGAGGAAAATTATAAGACACAGAGACATTCCTCTTGATTGAGACTGTTGTTGAGATTGCTTTACATTTGATGCAAAGTCCGTATATTAGTAATGAACAATTAAAGATCAAGAAAAAGCACATGTGCATATTAGTCTAGTTTACAGAAGGCATTTCTAGAAACTCACATGAAGCACCACTTAGGGACACATTGTGCAAGAAACAGAAAATGTGTCATTTAATTTATAGGCCAGATAAGATCATGTTCATTCTGACATTGTACCCCACAAGTGACTTTGGAGGCTTATGAAGGCATATTTTGGCATGAGTTCATCTTTAGAGTGCCTCTGTGCTTAACATGTACTTTCTCATTTCAAATGGAGAGGAAACTGGCTGATGTAATGACCCTGCCAGAGAGGCCTCCTCAAAATGCTGGCTTTGTTGGGATGGGAACAAGTCCCAAACACTTGGTACTTGTCTGGTCAACTGAAAGAGCTGGTAACACCATTTCTTTTGAAATTCCTTTGTTCTTCAATATAAAATGTTCTTCCTCTGCTTCCATCAGCCTACACTTTTGCAGGACTTTTCTTCCAAATATTCAGGCCACGTTATTCATATATTTTGATTGTCCTTGCATGAAGAAATGATTTTGCAACTACATGAAAAGTGGAAAGGCCAGCACCATTGATCTCATTTTTTAAATGGACAAAAAGGTACAAAGTTAGTGACATTATCACCATAAAGTAGCACCAGAATTCCTGTTTTCCGACTTCCTAAAGAGCTTCTTTTTGAGCAACAGCAAAGTTATCTCATGGCACTTTAAAGATGTTGCTGTAGAAGTTCAAAAATTCAAGCCAGAATAGTGATCATACAACCCACAGCAAATAGTCATGGTGGGTTTCCAGTCCTTAGCTAGTTTAATTCAACATGTTTGAAAAATAAAATGAAAAACTTGAGCTCCAAATGTAAATGTAAATGTAAATATTTATATATGGAGATATATATCTCCAAACACATATGCTTTCCCTAAGTTTACCTCAAAAGAAAACTAGTTATTTTTAAAATTAACATTAAAAATGAAGGCCCTTTGCATTGACTCTGAACACAGAAAGTTAGGAGAGAGAAGGGGAGAAAAAGAAGGGGTAGGGAGAGGGAATGTCTTTTCACTTACTTCAGCAGGATTTGGGTAAGCATCATATAACACAACTGTGTTTCTGAAACATTTTTCATATACTTCCTAAGTATTTCATGAACTCATATGAACACAGGGGGGAAAGTAAACTTACACAGGGCAGGAAAAAGAGAAAAGTTTTTTGGTGGAATTTGAATTAATGAAAGTACAAATAATGAAAAATAACTCTGCAGTCAGATTTCAGGATTTACTGGATGTTTTCCCTTCTAAAGAGTCTGAGGGTTACAAAAACTTCTTTCCAGGGAAAACAACGAAACTCATATGAATCCTGGGTTTTTCCTTTGAGGGAAAGTTTATTGTAAACAGAATTGTAAGGGAGGGAGAAAAGTGCCTATAGCGAGCTCTGGCATTAATGAAAACTTGCAGCCACCTTCAGAGCTGGTCCTGTCTGTCAGAGAGTCAAGAGTGCCCTGGAGGAGAAGTGCCTCCCATCACATGAGCCACGTTTGCCAAATAGAAAGCAAAGCCTGGGAACTCGTCCCCCAGAGCAGTCGGCTTTGGTTCCATTTCCTACCAGAGCAAGCAGACGGGAAGCATTTCAGCCTGACAAAGAGGCATGCAGAAGCCAAGGCTAAAAGTAGACTGCATTTCAGAGGTTCTAACACTGAAAGAACGGAAACCATATGGGAATTACTTTATTATTCAGCTGAAGCCTTCAGGTGGCTTTAAATTAAAAGGAATATTGTCAACCACATCCCTGGGCTTTTTTTTTTTTTGGTCCCCTTCTCCAACCCTCCCCCTCTTTTCTTTTTAAACTTTACAAGCACTGATTTAGCAGTGGAAATTCCCCAAATATAAATTAAGCATTATATCCACCCAAGAAATTCTTCCTGGCACTCAACCAGTAGAACAACATTAAAATCTCTCATATAATTCTTGGGAGAATAAACTAGAGGGTGTGTGTGTGCGTGTGTGTGTGTGTGTGTGTGTGCATGTGCGTGTGTGTACATACTTTGAGTTTTTTCCTTCTTTAGAATTATGTTTCATTATATAAAGATATTCACTGACAATTAGACATACAGTGTCAGAAGGGATGTAATCTCCCTACAGATATTTAACAACGATACTGAAATGTAGGTCACACCTCTAAAAACTGATGCCCAATTTTTGTGCATCAATAACTACCACATGTACAGATTTTCCACCACTGCTGCCACCATCACAACTGTGAACATCCCCTCCACAGCCCAACATTGAGGCCTTAATTCCTATAACTCTAAAGAGATAAGAATGCTGACTGCATTACTTAGGACAGGCTGGATAATGCTGCAGGAACACACCACCTCTACCTAAATCCCCATGACTTGTAGTAACTGAAGCTTAATTCTTGCTTACATGACATGTTCAACCTCGGTCGGGAGGTCTTTCCATCATAGCCCCTCATCACATGACCAGACTGTGTAGGCTCTCTCGTGGCCTGTGCTTCAACCAATGTAAGGGGAAGGGGATGAAGCAAATCACATGGCAACTCTTAAAGCTTCATCTGGGAAGTGACACATGTGACTTCTGCCACATTTCATGGCAAGCCACTTTCATAGTCATGCCTAGACTTAAAGGAGGCAAGAAAGTACAACTGTGCTGAGTGTGCCCAAGGAAGGCCATCAGAATATCTGTGAGCCTTCCTAATTGCCATAGGAGTCTCACAAAGGCTTGAAAGAAACACACACACACACACACACACACACACAGACCTGTACCAGAGCACATAAAGACTATCATTTGATTCCTAAGGTACACAGATCCCATCTTCTTCTTACTTACATTCCTAGCACCCAGTGCAGGGAACTCAATGTCTCCTTGACGAAAGAAATAACAGAGCAATGGGGCCAATTGTCTCTGATAGGTCTCACTTCTTAGCACCCCAGGGTTAATATGGCAGGTTAAGCTGGAAATTTCTTTCTGCTTTTAAAAACAACGATAACAACAGGCTGGGTGTGGTGGCTCAGGCCTATAATCCCAGCACTCTGGGAGGCCAAGGCCGGCGGATCACTTGAGGCCAGGAGTTTGAGACCAGCCTGGCAAAACCTTGTCTCTACTAAAAATACAAAAATTAGCTGGGCATGGTGTCACACACCTGTAGTCCCAGCTACTTGGGAGGCAGAGGCAGGAGAATCGCTTGAACCCAGGAGGCAGAGGTTGCGGTGAGCTGAGATCGTGCCACTGCACTCCAGCCTGGGTGACAGAGCAAGACTCTGTCTCAAAACAAAAACAAAAAGAAAGAAAAAAAAAAAACAGAAAAAATGAATGCGTGACATCATCTATGTTCTTTAAGTACATCTCTGGTTCTCTATAGGACAGTGAAGGAGTGTTTAGTCTCTAGTAAGCTTTCTGAGACAAAAATTCATAAAGATACATGGAAGAGTTTCCTTGCTAGACATTTAAAAGAAACCAAAAGAATATTTTACCACTCACCTACCCCTTAACACAAATGCAAATTTTTTTTCCCATTAAGCGCTCAGGGACAGAGTATTCCATTTTAACACGAATAAGTCTCTCTTATACATAAGAAACAGCAAAAGAATATCGTATAAATCTTGCTTTCCCAAGAAATAGTCCAAAAAAAAAAATGTGTTATCTGAGAGAGAAACTAGAAGGTCAAATGGGAAAAGAGACACAGAAGAAGAACCTTATTTTCTCCAGCTCAGAAATACTTCCCTACCATTCCTTCTCTGGTACATTAACCTTGCCCTACTCCCTGAACTTTTAATGGGGAAGAGTGAAGGAAATTTATTGGTGGGAGACTTAGGAGGCTTTTAGTAATGTTAGAATACTGCTTACTGTTTACTAGATACATGGAGAGACTTAAATAAAAAATTCATGCCAACAGTATCTGTACAAGCGACCAGCTGTTCTTATTTATTCCAACAGACATGGTTACATAGGACTCCAGGCTCTATTATCCAGGCTCAGACAGCCACTCTGGCAACAACTGCACAGGGTTTGAAGCATTTCAGGTCCCAGAACAAGCCCTTCATTTCACAGAGAAGTGCTGAAGATCGTTTATTCCAGTAAGAACTCAAAATTCTACCCAAAAGCTATCACCAGAGGAAGAAAAAAAAAAACCTCACCAATTTTTCAGGCTCAGCTCCTAAATTAAACTTTCTTTCTCCCTCTCATGCCCAAGACCAACCAGAACCCACCAGCTCTGTCATCAATGACTGACTCCATCACATGAAACAGGACCAGAGGCTGATAATCCCAGTTTAGTAGAGTCTCTCCATGGTAAACTTTGAGAGAATTCGTATCCTTCCATCCTAGAGTGACTTTGTATACAGGCATCTCGTTTGAAAGGTGTGTGAGCACTCTTTTTTGTTATTTTTACTTTCTGATCAATATCAGCAAATGGCTGAGAACTGTATAATTATGAGAAAGCAGCTCTAAAGAATACTAGCTTTCATGTATTGAAAGGGACTAGTGTAAAGGCAGCAACTACAGTAGCAACTGACATTCATGAGTGTTTTCTAAAGCACTGGGTTTTATACCACAAGCTTCATCATCTCACTTAAACCTTAAAATAACCCTATGACATGTGCTTAGTAATTTCATTCCAAAGAGTGCAGTATGGGAAAAAGTCGGGGGAAGGCAAATTTGCAGTGAAGAGACTTGGCACCATGACCTCAGCCAGGTTATCAAGATCAACATCTATAGTGATACGTCATGGTGATCATAGGTACTCTTGATATGATGGTGGAGAATGGTGCTTCACCTCTGTGGTCTTCCTCTGAAAAAACCCATAACCAAGTCCAATCATGAGATGAATTTCAGTTGAAGGACATTCTACAAAATATCTGACCAGCACGCCTCAAAACTGTTAAGCTCATTAAAACAAGGAAAGGCTGAAAAACCCTCATAGTTCAGAGGAATCTAAAGAGACATGACTACTAAATGCAATGTCGTATCCAGTATGACCCTGGAACAGAAAAGGATATTAGGGAAGAACCAGTGAAATATAAAGATAAAAAAAAAAAAACCCAAACTGTGGAGTCATTTAATAGGCAAGTCCCAATGTTGAATTTTTTTTGACAAGCATACATAATAAGGTAACAAGAAAAGGAACCAGGCAAGGGATGTAAGACTACACTCTTCCTTTTTTTGCTACATTTCTGTAAATCTAAAACTACTTAAAAATTAAAAGTTTTTTTTTTAAACTCTGAGGATGATTCTCTTATCTCCATTCTAGAGATGAAAAGCTATAGGTTCAATAACTAACTTCTCAACATTATAATACAGAGCAAAAGAACCCTTCAGATATGCCTACTTCACATTTAAGCCACCAATGGAATAGAGCTGTGGGATAGGCCCTTGCATAAGATTTATAAAAACTACTTAATGCCAGATACATGCTGAGAAAATTAAACTGAAAGAATTTATTTCACTTACATTCCTCGTAATGAGATACTTTTATTTTAGCATATACTCTTAAGCAAAGGGGCCATAACATACTTTCTAAATATTTCATCCTTATTTCCCATCACAAATTTCAATTACTCAGTCAATGCTATGTGATGATCACATTTAAACAAAATTAGCTTAGGATTTTGCCAAAATGTTGACACTTTAACATTCCCTGAGAGAAGGCGGCATCAGCCAATGGACCTTTCACCCTATAATGTCCTATCTTTTAGCTACTCTTATTTGTGACACCCACATTTTCTCTTCTGATACACTAACTGGATATTTTGGTGCTGGTGAACTCAGCCTGCTGCCATAACACAGGATCAGTGAGTTACAAGTTAGGGTGCCCCTCAAAAGAGAATGACTACATCAGTATAAAGAAAGCCTAGCTTATACTTTGAGTTTCTTCAGATCCTGAGACATAGAAGATCAGCTGTGGCTGCTCTAAAACTCTGAAGACAACTAAATGCCCTCTGAAATATAAATTCTAACAGTGTTATCTACCAAACCAGTGTTTCCCACAGTGTGAAGCCAGCCTCTCTGGGAAAACTCCAATATCCTCCCAGGAAGGCTCAAGCAGTCCAAGACATATTCTTTTTTTCCTTGGGACTTGCCAAAATCAGACAGTAGGATTCAACAAATATTTCTAAATACTGTACTTAATATATTGTTCCCTGTGAGAATATAAAGTGGAAGCGATCCAGCAAGTAAGAAAACAGGCTGCCTTCTGTGTGTGATTAGATTAGCCTGCCTAAAGACATGTTTTTCTCAATCTTGTTCTATTTACAAGTCTTTTTTTGTTTGTTTTTTAAAGGGCAAGTGATTTCTTGAATTATTGATTTTACTACTCAGGGCTTGTCTCAGGAAGAGCTAAATCTCTTTTTCCTCCCTTTATACTTCAAACTATCCCAAGGCAATTCGTTAAAGGCATCATGTCTGTTTTAACGAGAGGAAAGGATGGAGAGAAGAAGGGGGAAGTGAAAATGACAATTTTCCCACAAAATCATAGCAAAAGAGCAATAGAATAACCAATGGGCTAACTCTCCCGATTCAATGGACAATGGAAATAGAGCCAAATCCAAAGTTTAACTTCTTCCCTTCACCAATCAATAGGAAAGAAAGAACCAAGTTCAAGAATCCATAATCATCCCCGCAGACAGGCAGACAGAAGACAAAGACAAACACACAAACACACACAAGGAAAGCAACTGTGGCACATTGGCACTGACCCAAAACAAACCCTTCCTCTCAAGAACCTTTCTGTTTTTATAACTTATGAAAAACTTTTTCAGAGTTTTAAAACTCAAAAAAAATCTTCATTTTGGAGCCCTTGATGGTTCAGGCTGGAATTTTTTTTTTCTAATCTCACACCAGTATGAGAAGTCATGTTAAGAGGTCATTTGAAGGATTAAACTTCTAAGATCATTTTCATGAGAAAGAGACTGAACATCAGAAGACTGTCCTTTGGGTAGATTCTTAAGGGCTCAGAGAAGAATTTGAACTCCTCAATGAGCATCTCCACATCAGCCTGAATCCTAACCCTCTTTCAGTCAGACATCCCAAATCTAAACCTCCTATTTAAGGCCTCAGAGTCTCAACATTCCAAGTGAGTGGACACTAGAGTCATCACACTCAATCTCCCCATCCCTGCAAACCCTGTTCTAACTCCCCAAAGGACACCTGCAGAACATTAAACCAAGATTGAGTATCAAAGCCAAAACCTCACAAAATATGGAAAAGTCAGATTTTTCAAAGCACTTGCAAATAAGCTTTTTAATGTCCTTTAAAGTTTTCATTAATTATAACAAGTCTTCTCAATTTTTGCTTTTGACTTTCCAGACAATTCATGGTGTCAACTATCTACAGTACAGAAAAAGTTTCACACATTTAATATGTGAAACAGCATAAAGCAGATAAAACGCATATGTAAAAATACGAAGCAAAACGTCAGTCTGACATCATAATTTTTTTTTTTTTTGAGATGGAGTTTCACTCTTGTTACCCAGGCTAGAGTGCAACGGCACAATATTGGCTCACTGAAACCTCTGCCTCCCGGGTTCAAGCAGTTCTCCTGCCTCCGCCTCCCAAGTAGCTAGGATTACAGGCGCCCACCACCATACCCACCTAATTTTTATATTTTTAGTAGAGACAGCGTTTCACCATGTTGGTCAGGCTGGTCTCGAACTCCTAACCTCAGGTGATCCACCTGCCTCGGCCTCCCACAGTGCTGAGATTACAGGCATGAGCCACCATGCTGGGCCGTGACATCATAATTTTACATGCCCATATTACTTTCATATTCATATTATTGACTCTCTACTGGTAAAGCTACATTGATGCAGAATATCAAACAGAACAGATTCAGCAATTTTTCCTGTGAAAAGTACATAGCAATGTGACCAGAGTCTTGTCCAGTACCTGGCACATAGAGGCACACAAATATTTGTTGAACTAATTAATCAATCACTAGTCTTTAACACTTTCTGCTAAGACATCATCTAGGAAAAAAAAGAAGAAAAGAAAAGAAAGAAACCTCTTTCCCTTCCTCGTCTTCACAAATATCTCTAGGTAACTTACAAGTATACTCCCAATATGCTATTTCCATGTTTGCCATTTTCTGTATTTAATGTGCAGGTAATACACTTGAATATTAGAAAATTATAACAACAGGCAAAATAAAGCCATTTAATTATTCTCTAATCACACAGCTGTAACAACTTTTAGATTTATATAAATCTCACAAACTGCTTATAATATATCTGCACATACTGAATGCATGAAACACTGATTTGTTAGTTTTTTAAAAAAACAGGGTCTTAGAGAAATCTACACCACTGCTTAATGCCTCACTTGGTATTTTATTGCATATTTCTACTATAATTTATTTGACCACTGTAATATTATTTAGACATTTCTAGCAAAATGTATCAAAAATAAATAAGTTTGCGATCAAGCATTCTTATAGCTAAATTTTTTACACATTTGATCACAGTCTGAGAAAAAATTTGCCTAGAAGCTGAACTGCTGAAACTGTAAGAATATTTTGTGGCTTTTGATTTTACATATCGTGAAATCACCTTTAGAGAGTATACAAAAAATTTCCCCCAAAATGGCAGGTTTTTTTCCTTACCCATAGTAATACTGGTTTTTATCATTATTCTCCAACTGAGTCAGTTTAGTAGTTTAAAAATATGTCTTGTTTTACTTTACATTGCTTAAAGAAAGGGTGATTGTTTCACATATGTAAATGCAAATAATATGTATAACATTTTGAAGTGTCAGCTCAAAGTAGATACTCATAACCAATAGCAGGTATTAGCAGCCTTGAGAGACTGGCCACTTTTTACAAAGCACAATATATATTGAAGTCTTAGTATTAACTGCCTCTGTATTTTTAAAATTAAGATTGCTCAAAACTTTTGTGAAAATTTTCTAAAGCTCAATACATATCAAGATGGTTCGACTTAGGATGAGATATGCATTTTTTTACTAGCCCCTTCACCTTGTCAGCAGATATTTTTAAATGTCTAGATATTGACATTCTCTCTTTATCTCATGGCCCACTTGAGTTTTGCTTTAAATTGGTGCCTGTGTTGATGCATGCACACACATATTTACATATACATATATGTGTGTACACAAACGTCTACTCTACATATGCAAACTCCACCTCCTGGGTTCAAGCGATTCTCCTGCCTTAGCCTCCCGAGTAGCTGGGATTACAGGCGTGTGCCACCACACCCAGCTAATTTTTGTATTTTTAGTAGGGACAGAGTTTCCCCACATTGGCCAGGCTGGTCTCAAACTCCTGACCTCAGGTGATCCGCCTGCCTCAGCCTCCTAAAGTGCTGGGATTACAGGCGTGAGCCACCACGCCCAGCCTTGTGTGGTTTTTTAAAACCACTCCATACATACACATTTGATAGATATTGATAGATATGTATACACACATATGCATACATACAGAGATTCAAGACCTTACATTTTCCCCCTTAGGCTTAGCAAATCAATTAATACTAATGTTTTCTTGTTTACTATTTTATTTCATTTATTTATTTATTTCTGAGACAGGGTCTCGCTCTGTTGCCCAGGCTGGAGTGCAGTGGCGCAACCATGGCTCACTGCAGTTTCGACCTCCCAGGCTTAAGGGATCCTTCCACCTCTGCCTCCAAGTAGCTGGGAGAACAAGGGGACACCACCACACAAGGCAAATTAAAAAATAAAAAATTCTTTTAGAGATGGTGTCTTTTAGAGATGTTGCCCAGGCTGATCTTGAACTCCTGGGCTCAAACAATCTTCCTGCTTCGGCCTCTCAAAGAGCTGGTATTATAGACCTGAGCCACCACACCCGGCCTCTTGTTTACTGTTTTAAAGGAGTAATCCCAGGGGTGTTCTCACTGCAAAACACCACTGAAAGAAAATAAAACACTATTTCTCCTGGATTCTTCTCCTCACCATTAAACAAGTGAGTAAACAGCAAAGAAGCCTACTTCAGAACTACCTGACCTGCTCACCCCACTGAGCTGCCAAGAGCTGCACCCACTGTGTCCCACAAGCATGACAGGCTCGGCTCTGCAGGGAATGGGCACAGCCCCACACAGTCATCGCAACCGACATCTGTGGGCAAGACGCCGAGGTACACCTCAATCACGTGTGCCTGTCACAGAACGCTCGCTCACGCACCTGCTTCAACCGTGTGAGCTCAGCCTGTGGGTTTTCCTTGATTGATGTTGGTGTAACTGCTTCACGCTCTCCGTGGGTGAAGGGAAGTGGGCTCTGCTCAGAGCAGTTTGTGGTGCTTCACACTTCCACTTGACATTACACAAGGAATAGCAAGTTACAGAGGGAGGCACACGCCTGCAGGCTCTCCACACCCTCACTGACGGATGGAGAAGGCATCGAACCTTAAAATAAAACAACAATGAAATAGGGGCTTTGAAAACCAGGAAACAAGCAGGCGAAGGAAGCATCTGTCTCTTTCACTCTGAGCCAACCCCAGATGAGTCACACGCGTGTGCGCGCACACACACACACACCATGCCCACCAGAGGACCACTGATTTCACCACCTCTAGGCCTTCGTAGAGGCTTTTAATGTTTCTTGACTAAGCAAATTTGTTCTTTGCCCAAACTACCACAATATTCATGAAATCATTCAGACCTAGAAAAAAAGAGAAAAAATGACTATTTGAGCAAATTTCACAACTTTCAACAAGGTTCAATCTACCCTAAGAAAAGGTTTCAATAAATTGTGCCCATGTGTATAACTTTTCAACTTTTTAACATTCATTTCTTATTTTCAAAGTAAATATTCAAGTCAGCTAAGTTACAACACCTGATTTTGGATCTTTGGAACCCCACAACTGCCATGCAAGTTCCCAGGCGAATGATCTGAAAAAACTCCACGGTCTTCAATTGCTCCCACACTTGGCTCTCCTTTTTGTTGCCTCTACTCCTCTGCTATGAGATTCGAGGCAATAACTACAATTTTAGAAAAAGTAAGAAAGCCTGATTATAAGAAAAATCAAAGAAAATATCTGCATATGTTAGAAAAGCATATGCAAAAGGAAAAAAATCCAGTTGGATGCCAAAACTTGTGTGGTTTTTAAAATTTTTATTTATTTATTCATTTTTGAGACAGAGCCTCACTCTGTTGCCCAGGCTGGAGGGCAGTGGCACCATCTCAGCTCACTGCAAAGTCCACCTCCTGGGTTCAAGCGATTCTCCCGCCTTAACCTCCCGAGTAGCTGGGATCACAGGTGTGTGCCACCACACCCAGCTAATTTTTGTATTTTTAGTAGGGACAGGGTTTCCCCACATTGGCCAGGCTGGTCTCAAACTCCTGACCTCAGGTGATCTGCCTGCCTCAGCCTCCTAAAGTGCTGGGATTACAGGCGTGAGCCACCGCGCCCAGCCTTGTGTGGTTTTTTAAAACCACTCCATACATCCCATTGGTGGACCCAGAGAAGTTCTAGCAAAAACCTAATTGTTGCTTTCATTTGAACTATGTGAAACTGTCTTTTTTTAACCCTTGAAATACTGACAATTTCAAGGGATTCACCTAAATATTTTCTCAGACTTACACATGCCACAATACTTTTGGTGATTAGGACAAAAGGTTTACAAAGGACAGAGAATCTTCATTCTCTGCATCTTCTCCTTTTCATCCACATTCTTTCCTCTTTTATTATTCACCTCCTTCACTCAAGTGGGCAGGAGCAGATGGAGGAAGGAATGGGAAGGGACCCTGAGCAATCACCTAGAACTGGACCTGGATTTCAGCCCAATTTTAGGTTCCAGAGGTAGTCCTATTCCTCCACTCATAAAAATGTCAAACAAACAAACAAACAAACAAACAAAAACCTAGGGCTCTGAAAACAGTATTTTATCTTCTCACATCTTCCCTTCCAGAGTCTTCTACTCTCATGTTGAGGTTCACTCACTCGGGGTGGGCTTAAGATCACATTTGAAACGTAACTGGTTACCTACAAACCTGGTTGGATTTTTGGACTCCGTAACTGAACTAATCACAAGTCACTTTTTACCTTTAACATCTATTTTCTCCCACTGGTCCCTGAGCTGCCTTAACATTTTCTAGCCACCTTGCCTTCTTCTAGAAAGCATTTTATTGAAAGACACAAGTTTCCCAGTAACTGTCAGAAGTAGAAGAAGAAACTACTACACTGGTATCCTTCACCATTTTGAGACAAGAGTATGCATTTAAGAGAAATATCCACATCTAAAGGAAACCCATCTATGCAGGAAGTATAAAAATAGGGGGAAGAACCTGTATTTCTGAACCATGACTATAATAACGGGGTAGTCCCTGCCCCCAGCTGGTGTGGCATCCAAAGATGTACTGAAACTTTCTGATAGATGTCAAAGGTCACACATTAGAGAAAGAAATGATGCCAACTGAATGCAATAATGTAGGGAAAAAATCCTTAAAAGTTTTAAAGAATCTGTGTGCACAAAATGCTGACAAACCTTCAACGCAGCATTGTAAGCCTAACAAAAGCTACATTCCATGCCCACCTCTAAGGAAATATATTAATTTCTACAGGGCTTTCATTTCTTTACCTTTCCTTCCATGAGGATTCAGCACATGTTCCACGTACAGGATTACTGTCAGCCTGATTTTGAATGTGATTGGGATGGGGTGCGGGGCAGAAACTTCAGAAGTATAGATGCAAAAATACAAAGCCTTGACCCGGTCAAAAGGAAACGAAGAGTCCACCTAATATGAACTAAACTATAAGATTTTTCTCTCTTCAAATTGTGCTACCTTTAAGAAATCAGTTTCTATTGGATTTTTTTCCGTAGAAAAACTATATATTTTATATTGTAGAACAAAGCCCAAAATATGGGAAGACAAGGCACAAGTTTCCTCCTTTGTTCTGAGTAACACAAGTGTTTATTAAATTTTGTAACATGGTCAATGGGACACTAAAGGGTTGGTATCAACTCACCTATGATACACAGCAACTGAAAACTACAATAACAGCAAATGTGTACAGCAATCCTCCTGTGTATGTACATAGTTGTTTTAGAAACTTTAAATACGCTGTTTTACTTAATATTCCTTCCAGCAACCATTAGAGGTGCAGAGTATATTCCCACTCTACTCAGGAGGAAACTAAGGCTCAGAAAGTTTAATAATTTCCCCAATTGAGAAAGCTGCCTATGAAGCTGAGATTCAAACCCATTATTTCCCAATCCCAAGGCTTGTCTCTTTTCTTTCCTGAACTTTTCTTGCAAAGGCCAATCTCTGCAGTAACAGTGGGAGTAGAGGGTGAAAACTCTAGTTAATTGGAAAGTCCCTGCCCTGCCCACCCAGGAGAGGTATGGAGTACTTGTTATTCAGCCACAGCTGATATTGACCGTGGGAGACCAGTGAAGTCAGATTCTGGCTTCTTTGGAAAAATTGACCAAATGTTTATATAAACATTTTTAAAATATTGGCAGCAAGTCATTTAAACACACATGCACCCATGCATGTGCATACACACACACAACTCCTCATAAGGGCAAACACAACATTTTTGAAGGAGTGATTAAGCTCTCTGGTCCCCCAGTTTATGATATCTGTCCTACCTCGCCTATTTTTCATTTATTATATCCACCAGGAAGCCACATTATAGTCCAAAAGTTCCAATGGAGCCATTATTAAATTTATATTAGGGTTCGATGCACATTGCAGATCAAAATTCTCCTCAAACCTACACATAGTTTCAGTTAGTTGCCTGAAGAGAGCCACAAGCTTTCACAACAAAAGCATCCATCTTATCCCATGTTCAGTACCTGCAAATGAACAATAAAACACCACCACGGCCACTAAGCAGGTCTAGTCTGTGGCAATGACAGCAGCTCTTGGGTTCAATTAGCCCATGCTTTGCCAGATCCACAAACTAGTAAACATTTCAAAAAAGGTAGATCACAAGAGCAAAAAGCACCTGCAGGAACCACTATCCCCATAACCTTTCTCGTCCCTCTTTCCCCTTCAAGTTTGATGATTTGGCAGTTCTGGAACTCTTCCGAGAGAAGTCAAGACTCACTCTGCCAGCCCCAGCTGTTCAAAGCTCAGCCCAATCTGTTCCATATAGTTGGCTGTATTCTAACAATAATGTGGCTACAGTTCACCTTCATTTGCTGCAAAGATCATTAACTATCCCTCAGAGAGATACAGTATTAAAGAAAGAGAGTGCTCGAGGCATAATAAATGGAAGTTCCTGGGTAACACAGTTCAAAAGAGGTAGGATGATGCCAGCAAGGCCACCTGACAGTTTCTATAGCCAGAGAAAAGGGAAGAAAACAGGGGCAGGAAGGAGGCAAAATCAGAAAGAGAAATAAGAAAAGCCAGAATGTGCCTGGCAAGTGTGTATGTTCATGTGAGCAGAAAATAGAGGAAAAACAGAACATCTGAAATAAAGACACCAGGACATTTAATGTTAAGTCACAGCAGTGACATGATCCTACTTGTCTGGCAGCTCAAACATTCTATGACAGAGGTAGAAGTAAATTTGGAAGGAGAGTGAGAGCAGAGAGAATGAATTACAATCCTATACAGGAAGAATGCAGGATTCCAGACCTTTTTTAGTACCGTAAAAGATACTGCATTCAATGAAACCTGTATTTAAATCATGTATCTGACCTCCCATTCATAAAACTGCTGAATTACAGTGTAGAGTAGGCGTGTTTCTTCATTCAACTCATACATTCAGTTATTAAAGTCTTGCATTAGCCTTATTTGAGTCTTTTTCTCCAACCACTCCCTCTTTTTCCCCCAATAAGCCAGCCCTGTGAAAACACCCAGTGATCAAAATGGCCACTTCATAGAAAGTTCTGCGTGTTTAATATAAAACCTGGAGTTCCTCAGTTGATAATGACAGCATCAAAGTCAATACTTGTTGTGAGTTGCAATTGTTGTATTAATCCAAACTAAATTCCAGTCAACAATGGAGAGAGAACTGGTGGCTAAATGGGAGTTCTAGTGGCAGACCTCATTGTCTTACGATTTACTTTCTTTGGAAATTCACAGGGTAATATGACAAAATTAACAAACAACAAAAACAAAGCTCCATACGTGACATCTTTACCATTTTCTTTACCTTCTTTTCCTTTGTTGAATCAATCCCCAAAACAATGGTTTTCAACTGGGGGCAAATTGGTCCCCCACAGAACATTTCTGGTTGCCACAGCTGGGGAGAGGAATCATGCTACTGGAATCTACTGGGTAGAGGCCAGGGGTGCTACTATATATTCTGCAATGCACTGGACAGCTCCCCACAACACTGAATGATACAGCCCCAAATACCAGGGAACAGAGGTTGAGAAGCCCTGCCAAGAGTCATTTCAGGTATCAAACTTCCTTTTTTGATATATGATATGGATTTTAGGAGTGGTAGAACGGGAGCTGTTTTGTTTTGTTTTGTTTTGTTTTGAGCACAGCTCACTGCAGCCTCAACCTCCCTGGGCTCAAGCAATTCTCTCACCTCAGCCTCCTGAGTAGCTGAGACTACAGGTACATGCCACCATGCCTGGCTAATTTCTGTATTTTTTGTAGAGACAGGGTTTTACCATGGTGGTCAGCCTGGTCTCAAACTCCTGGGCTCAAGCCATCCTCCTGCCTCAGTGCTGGGATTACAGGCATGAGCCACCATGCCTGGCTGGAAGCATTTTTAAGTAAAATTCTGTTATTAAAATACCTTCTCTCCACATGGTAATAACACTTAACATAAATGGAAAGGAAGGCAGGGGGCAGAAATTTAAAATGAACTTAGAATCACAGTGGAACCCTGGTAAATCCTAATATAGCACCAAACTTTGCACAAGCCTTCAACCAGTGATTTAATTATTAAAATCCTTCCCCCTGCCAAAAAAAAAAAAAAAAAAATTCACCATAGTCCAATTCAATTTACCTAGGAGGATGCTTCAGAATATATCCACACAAGACCGTAATGTGAAATTTGTATTTATAAAGAAGAAACACAGCCTTGGCCTCCTCTTATGAAGACAGGCACAGAGGCACACCCACTCATACCAAAACCAGAGGACTCTATGTTCAATTAAATTGGCTCTATTTGGCCCGGCACGGTGGCTCACGCCTGTAATCCCAGCACTTTGGGGGGCCGAGGCGGGCAGATCACGAGGTCAGGAGATCGAGACCACGGTGAAACCCCATCTCTACTAAAAATACAAAAAAATTAGCCAGGCGTGGTGGCGGGCGCCTGTAGTCCCAGCTACTCGGGAGGCTGAGGCAGGAGAATGGCATGAACCCAGGAGGCGGAGCTTGCAGTGAGCCGAGATTGCGCCACCGCATTCCAGCCTGGGCGACAGAGGGAGGCTCCGTCTCAAAAAATAAAAATAAAAATAAATAAATTAATTAATTGGCTCTACGTAAAAGGTCTCTAGGTAACACTTAAATTGGCATGAAACAAAATAATTCACCTGAGGAAGGGAAAGGGGAAGAGTTAGAAATTAACCCTTTCCTGAAAGAAGACAGACAATTCCCCCAGCCACACCTGGAAACTCAAGAGCAGCCTTTGATGTAGTCATCTGTCTTCAGCCCAAAAGCTCTAGGGAGACGACCTAACATTTACGTGGCTTGGTAAAAAATAATTTGCTCTGAGGTAATTTAGTGTAAGCTCAGGTCATGGCCCGAACTTGCCAAATAAACAGAACCGCCCGGGACTCTTTCCAGTGGCGCTAGCCTCCAGACTGATGAGCTTGCTCACCTGGCTGGCTCTCTTCTTCCCATTGATCCTCACTCATTTCCTCTGGGTTTTCCATGCGTGTGGCGTGCTTCGGGCAGGGCTACATGCTTGGGCTTTTTGGCTTTGCTGGATTCCTCTTGGCAGTCACACTTGGACTCCACAGCTCCTGGGAAGGAAGAGAGAAAAAAGGAGGTGCAGTCTTGAACGGGGATAGAGCTGTGACCTCCCAGCCTATAAAGAACATGTTTTGCCTTGCCGGGATGGGGAAACAGCTTTTGAAGTCTAGCCCAGGCCTCCCTGGTGCAGATCATCTACCAGCTATTGTTCCAGCACAGATTTCCACTCTACATAATGGAGACACAATGAAAAAGGGATTCATTCACTGACTCTTTATGGAATGCTCACTATACTCAAGGTACTGGGAGCAGGAGAGAACATACTGGGGAAAGGCAGGCATGTGTCCTCAGAGTAGAAGAAAATATCCAAAAAGAAATTTTTATGTGAACAGACTTTGTTTGGGCTAAATGCTTCCTGATATGTGAACAGAATATAAAATATGAATTTGGTAACTTAATTGATGAAACTGTCCATATGTAATTTAAAAGAAAAACAGGGATCTAGTTTTGGTAAAATCATAGCCACTCTCCAGATCCAACCCCAAAGCTGTTTTTGTAAACCACTTTTGGCAGAATTTCTCACCTCGGTGATAGAGATAACACCAGGTTATTAATCTGTGGTTTCAAAGAAGAGAAAAATTAGTGGCAGGAGGACTGGATGATTTTTTATTAAAACCAGGTCAATTAAGGGAATCTTTGCTAGCCAATATACTTATACCCACTGGAATGTGTTAAAAAGCCAAAATCCTGTCCAGTTCAATCCCAGAAGAAAAACATGCAGAGAACAGCAATATTCAGCAATGAGTACTGAAAGTATTTTCAAGTCTGGGCAGCATTCTAGAAATTACTAAATTAACCAATGATGTTGTGTTGAACAGAACTCTCATCCTGAATATAATTATATTAAAACTTCTGACGATTTCTTCCCTCAACGTGCTATCCTCTGGTTGTAGGAGGTTAGGGTTAAGAAGAAAGGACATAGGGATGGGACAAGGAGGAAGGGAAGAAAATACTCACAAAAACCATATTCATAATTCAGCAGTTTTGTACAATGACAGATCATTCATGTACTATTTTTTACTCATGAAACTAAATTCATTCATTACCTAACATTTATTAGGCTTATTGAATAAATTATAGAAATGTAAATCACAAAATGAATTATATAACAAAATGTAGGTTCTTATTACATGCCAAGATTAATGTATTTTCTCCTTATGTAAATTTTCCTGGAATAAATACAAAGTTGAACATAATACTTTCAAATCATCTTCCAGTTTCCCTGAATTAGAAAACACTATGAACAATGTATTCAGTTGTGTGTGTGTGTGTGTGTGTGTGTGTGTGTGTGTGTGTATTTTTGGCATCATGCTCATATAATGTTTTGGCACCATGTTCTTTTATCTTACAAAATCATGTTTCATCTATCATTTACTAAAGAAAGTTAACAATTGGAATTAAGTTGCCTAACTATAGTAACAAGTGTCAAGGAAGTTTTATTTACTTAAAAACATATTTTTCTGAATAAATATGGTGAGCACTACATTTCTGTGGGTTGCCTTGGAGAATGTAAATAAACGCTACCAGTTGATACCTGTCAATTACAGTCCTTATGTAGTTTGTGGCACTTGTAATTTATAATAGGAAAATCATTCATTTTCCTAATGATCATGGACAAGTCCGCTGAATTTTTTATAATGTAATTGAAGAGACAGTAAGTCAAAACATCTTCATTCTTCTCTTAGCCATCTGCAAGATTTCTTATAGGCACAAAACATCATGTCAGGCCATTTTTACGAGTTTCCCAGGACTTATAAATTATTTAGACATGAGTGTTTTACTGTCCTAATATAAAACTCTAAATGAGCAAATTTAAACAAACAGAGGAAGTCACCACATGGATGTACCATGCTCATGGATGATGGCCCACAAAAAAAGTTGGGAGAAGCAGTGATTTGGACACATAGGTAGTGATCAAAGAGATACAGTCTAGTAGAATGGCAGAAAAATTGAATTTCCTTAAAAAAGTAATATGAAAATGACATAGAACCAAAATGGTAGAAAACTTTCCATTCCACTGGGTCATAGTAGGCAGCTCAGTTTTTTTCCCACTCTCTCAGTATGGTTAAAGCCTGGATACGGATGGGACAAGTTAGACTACCTATTGGCTACTATGCTCACTACCTGGGTGATGGGATCTGTACTTCAAACCTCAGCATCACACAATATTCCCATGCAACAAATCTGCACATGTACCCCCATATTTCAAATAAAAGTTTTTGAAGCTAGGCACAGTGGCTCACGCCTGTAATCCCAGCACTTTGGGAGGAGGCCAAGGCAGGTGGATCATCTGAGGTCTGGAGTTGGAGACCAGCCTAGCCAACATGATGAAACCCCATCTCTACTAAAAATATAAAAATCAGCCGCGCATGGTAGTGCATGCCTGTAATCCCAGCTACTTGGGAGGCTGAAGCAGGAGAATCACTTGAACCCGGGAGGCAGAGGTTGCAGTGAGCCGAGATCACACCAATGCACTCCAGCCTGGGCAACAGAGCAAGACTCTGTCTCAAAAAAAAAAAAAAAAAAGAAAAAAGAAAAAAAAATCAAATAAAAGTTGAAAAAATAAAGAACTACAGCCTGATGTGGAAAATGCCTATATCTAACCCAAATCTATCAAGCTAATCAGGAAAAGGAAGAAGACAAAGCAGCAGCAGCAGCAGCCGCCACCACCACCACCACCACTGCTGTCATCCTCTAATTTTACACAATAATAAATGAAGACTGGCGGGGGGAAACCCTCAGAGTTGGTGGCATTTCCTTCTCAGGTAAGCCAAGCTAGTTACAGGGATCAGTGTTCCTAGCTGTGAGATAATGATAGTTACTCTGTCCTTTTCATATTCTAGGCATTTGAGCACCTTGTCTCTTGGGCCCTCCCTGCCCACTTGGCCTACCCAACCTTATTATTCATCCTTTAAAAGACTTAGCTCAAATTTCTGTTCATAACCACAGGAGGAATTACTCCCTCCCTCCTCTGTGGCCTTACAGAACTTCTCATTCTGCTAGTGTAGCACTTCTCAAACTGCCGTGGCTAACTGGGTACACAACAGTTTCTACCACCAGAATCCAAATGCTTGGAGGACAGATTCAGCATCCTATCTACCTTTTATCCTCAGGGTCTAGCAGAGGGTCTGGTATATAGTAGGCATTCAATAAATATCTGTTGAATAAGCATGTGAGTGAACGAAGAAGCATTTAAATTACCCCAAATACTAGAAGAAAAAGACCAGAATGAAAATAATCTAGTTTGTATATCTCAGCCCTCCAATCATTACACTTAAAAGAACTCTAAAGACAAGATATTTTTAAATATAAAAAATATATCTTCCCAAATAGAAAAAGATAAACTATCCCATGTAATTTTCACAAGGATAGTGGACATTATAAATTACAGCCATAAAACTCTAGTCCTTTGTAACTTATGTGGTATTTCCTTTAGTTCTACTCTTTCATCTTTCCCAAGATTTGTTTTTCCATCCTGAGTGCTTCAAGCTAAAGAAAAAGATGACACAGGGACACCTATGTATATAGACACAAAATCTCTCACTTTCTCCAAACATTTAGGGTCACTATGCTCAGCTGAAACATTAAATTCCTGGAAAGGTACACAGAGAGCTGGTCCTAACCATTCCAAATGACTAAAATCTACTTTCTCGCTATGCCTTGAGTTATATTTTACAACTACAGTCTTGAAAATTGTGGACTACTTATAATTAATGAGAAAATATGAGAGGCTTGGAAGTAAATACACACACATAAAAATATTTTCTAAGTCAACTAAAGCCAAAGTCAAGGCTCTTAGGGAGCCACCAGTTACTAATGTGTCAGGCTCCAAAGCAGCACTGGAGAGTGGCTGTGGAGTCAGAGGACCTGGACTGGAACCCACACCAGCTTTGGGACCTTGGCAAGTTATGAATCTTCTTGTGCCTTAACCTCTTCATCTTTAAATGAAAAAAAAAAAAACAAAAAGGTGCCTTCCTCACAACGGTATTATGAAGAGTGAAAAATCAATGCAGGTAAGCAAATAGAAGCATATGTGGCATGCATTAAGAATTTAATAATGGTTAGAGTTAATATTACAGAATCACCTTCATATGTCCTTGTCTTTTAAGTTATTTCATTAGTAGGACATTCCAGAAGATGAGAAAATACTTCTCCTGAGCCAATCTCTGCCATAAACTCACTGCCATTTGGGGCACATGTCGTAGAAGGAAGTATAACAAACCTGATCCTGGAGTATTATGTTCCAATCAGACAAGAAATCATAGAAGGCATGAGAAATAATAATTCCGTTAACTACACTTAAATTGGTTTTGCTGACATCCATATGAATGCACACACAAAAAAAAACCTTTTAGAGCCACATATAACAGAGTAATCAAGGAATGTGCTATGCTGCTTATTAGCAAGATGTTTGGGCCCAGGTGACTTGCCACTCTGAGCCAGCTTCCTTATCTGTCCAATGGCAATAGTCATTATCACAATCATTGTAATTAGTCCATTCTCACACTGCTAATAAAGACATACCCAAGACTGGGTAATTTATAACAGAAAGAAGTTTAATGGATTCACAGTTCCACATGGCTGGGGAGGCCTCACAATCATGGCAGAAGATGAAGGAAGAGCAAAGGATGTCTTACATGGCAGTAGGCAAAGAGAGAATGAGAGCCAAGGGAAAGGGGAAACCCCTTATAAAACCATCAGATCTCGTGAGACTTATTCACTACCATGAGAACAATATGTGGGAAATCACCTCCATGATTCAATTATTTCCCAGTGGGTCCTTCCCACCACACAAGGGAATTATGGGAGCTACAATTCAAGATAAGATTTGGGTGAGGACACAGCCAAACCATGTCAATCATCTTCACTATACCTAATGCTATTGGTAAACCTAAAATGAGACAGTATGTACGAAAGCACCTAATAGATGGTTCATCCATGTTACCTTTACATTTTTATTCCTCCTGATTCCTGTGTAACTCTGTGGGCTTGCTGTGACTCTCTTCAGTTTTCCAAGAGACTCTCTTTACTTTCTCTCCCACCTAGATTAGATTGGGTCTAAGGGGAAAAAAAAAATACTAAAAAAGCGAAACAACTTCTTGTTTCTGAAAAAGCCAATCAAACATTTCTAATGGATAAGTTCTCTATTTGGTAAATCAAGAAAATCTATCATAATAAGTATGTGAAGAGGCCGAGTAAGAGTAGATCATTACCACAAAACTATACAAAGATGACAGATTATGGAATATGCAATGTTAGGATCAAGTTTGCTGTAAAGAGAACAAATAGTGACCTCTTTGCCTGAGTTTGGACTTAGCACACAAAGGGAAATAAAGGTACGATATGAATGCTGATTTTTCACTTTGGAAACAGATGGTGAGCAATGTCTATGAACACTGGATTATACATCCTCCTAGATATTTCTACAGGATTAGATAAGACCAAAAAACATTATATTGAGCATAAAAGTAATCCAATAAAAATCCAATTTTATGTTCTCTCTCCTCTTCATACCTGAACAACTTATTAAAATTAAAGAATGGACACCAATCTCAAAAATTTGTGTGTAGCCCTTTTTATTTGTTAAATTTAAAATAGCTTATTTGTATCCCAAATATTTAAAAGTATCCTTATGGGCCAGACACAGTGGCTCACGCCTGTAATTCCAGCACTTTGGGAGGCCAAGGCAGGCAGATCACAAGGTCAGGAGATAGAGAACATCCTGACAACACGGTGAAACCCTGACTCTACTAAAAATACAAAAATTAGCCAGGCGTGGTGGCAAGCGCCTGTAGACCCAGCTACTCGGGAGGCTGAGGCAGGAAAATCACTTGAACCCAGGAGGTAGAGCTTGCAGTGAGCCAAGATCGCACCACTGCACTCCAGCCTGGGCAACAGAACGAGCCGTCTCAAAAAAAAAAAAAAAGTATCCTTGTGGTCAAAGTGTTTCGATAATAAATAATAGGAAAAGAAGAATTCACCATCTAAATAGATGACAAGGAAAGGGAGAAATGCTTGAATTCCAAATAGCCTGTTTACACGCTGCAAATTCAAATTAGCCACCATAATTAGTTCAAGAAATAGAACTACATTCCTGACCCTAAAAGATATCACATGGTATCACAGATGAAAACAAAAGTCAATATATTTATACACATTTTACCCTTTAAGAGCCTAGGTTTCAGAGGCATGATGTGATTTGACAAAATTCACATTGCTAATAAATGAAGCACCGGAATTTGAACCCAGAGTTTTCTAAATCTAGTGTCTCCCCTCCCCTTCATAGAATGCCTCCTCTCAGAGTACACATCTGACAAAGGACTGGGTGTGGAGGCCATTATTGAAAAGACAGATTGGAGTCAACTAGTAGAGATGAGATCACCGGGCCTCTGCTTTTTAGCCTGTAGACGCACGGAACCATTAAAACTGTTTATGAGGAAAATAACATGTCAAACAGGAACAGAAATATTATCTGTATAGACGGATAAAATTTAGGAAAAGAACTGAAGACTTTTTCCCTCTTACAGGGGTTTCTGGTCAGATAGTGATCTGTTTGATTAATAGATTCAGATACATTGTTCAATGTAAGAGTTGTCAAGTCACTCTTTCCAACTTTCCAAAATTTCCAGGATACATCATATTTATAATACAATCTCCTGTATGCAGACATCATCTCCCACAAAAAAAAACCCACTCTCCCATACTGTGAAAATCCAAGATCAGTTTTAATGAAACCCACTAAATGCACCAAAAAAGTAAACTATAATCATACTGATAGTTACAATTTTACTCTCAGAAAAAAATGCATGGTACTCCTCATCTTCTTCAATACAATCCATAAAAACAGATTCATGGATAACTAAACTCCACAATATCCTCTAAGGAAATGAACTATTTCAGGTGGGAGGCAATACTGATGAGTAAAAAACACTTCCTGGTTCCTCAATCCAAGCATTCACTTAAAAAGTATACTTGTTTCTACATAGGTGGAAAGTTGAAGCAGTTTTTAAAAAAAAAAAAAAAAACAGTGAGCCCTAGTTATGACATAGTAATAATATGTGCCGTCCTTTGACAAGTATAAAATATAATATTCTGGCTTATGCCAATTTGGCATGTAAAAGGATAACCTAGAACATCACCATCAAAAAATACAAATGCCTAGCTAGCAATCCAGGTCAGAAAAAATGTAAAAGAAAAAGCTGTCACATGATGTTAGGTATAAAGCAGTATAAAAATGATTAACTCCAGAAATGGTGTTTATGTTGGAAAGGTATACAAGGTTATAAACAAGTTTTATTCAGTTGGTTCCATACCAATGCAAAGCTTCATGCCTTAAATGGCTTCATGTATTGCTCATCAGGAGCCAGTTACAGGTCTACAAATATGTTTATTTTAAAACAAGAACAAGGACAGTCTGGCTCATTGTTTGTTCATCTTTCTAGAAAACAAGTTTCCATATAAATCTTTCTAAGGGAACACATCTACCTTCTAACTATAGTTTTGTTGGCTTTCATAAGCCCCTAGATATTTTTTCCTACATTTCTTCTGAAAAGAATACACAAACTACCAACAGAGGCTTATGTTAAAGAGAAGCAACTAAACACTTGCTAAGTTTGAGAGATGGGTATTAGAAGGACAAATACAATTCTGTCTTCAGAGAATACCTACATACATTCTGATCTCATGATCCCATTTTTAAAGCTTCCAAAAGAAGTGAGTCCAAAAGCAACATCTATTCTTGAACTCAGCTTAGAAGATTTTTTTGTTTGTTTGTTACAGAGTCTCCTTTCCAAAGATCGGATGAAAGACATGATAAAAAGACATGTCTTGACCAGGTGTGGTGGTTCACACCTGTAATACCAGCACTTTGGGAGGCCGAGGTGGGCGGATCACCTGAGGTCAGGAGTTCGAGACCAGCCTGGCCAACATGATGAAACCCAGTTACTACTAAAAGTACAAAAATTAGTCAGGCATGGTGGCGGGCACCTGTAATCCCAGCTACTCGGGAGGCTGAGGCAGGAGAATTGCTTGAAAGTGGGAGGCAGAGGCTTCAGTGAGCTGAGATCATACCACTGTATTCCAGCCTGGGCAACAGAGCAAGACTCCCTCTCAAAAAAAAAAAAAAAAGACACGTTTACTTCAGTTTCTTCAGTTGCTTTCATGAGGAAACTGGCCCTTACCATTCTCCTTCACAGGAGAGGGGAGAATAGTCAGTCTTGAAAAACTATGTGCTTTGGGTATTGAGCACGTCAATGAAAATGAGCAGTCTTGAATAACATAAGATATTCTTTAGGTTACAAAAGACGCAAATATTATAATCCCTAATCAGACAACTAAACTATGGACAGTTGTATGGGACTGAAAGACGCAGAATCACGATGCTGTTGTGTTAATTCAGTCATGTTAATTCAGTCCAATTTTATAAATAAGAATCTGAAGTACATAGACATCAAGTAACTTTACCACATTTACTCAGTTGCAAAGCCAAAAAGAGATCTCCAATCTTGACTCCTGATGAAATTTTTCATTATGTCACTGGAATGAATTTTTAAACTATGCCTACAATTTTTACCCTGACCACTAATTCACTTCTTTCTCACGGCTGGAAGTTAATAAATTGCTTTCAGAATTGATCAAGGGTTCGAATATTGCAGAGTATGTGCTCAGGGCTGGGCCAGGAGCAAGGCCTAGGAGAGATGAGGACACTGGTTGTTGTGATAGAGTGGGGCCCCTACAGGGAGAAGTGCCATGTGTAATGCACCATGGGCGCACACACTAAGGAAAGGAATAGTCATTCCATACTAGTTTCAACAAAAAACAGCTGAGAGAGCAATGAGAAAAAATGTAAAAGAAAACTCTCATTCTTTAATAAAGTGAAGGCAAAAAAAAAAAAAAAAAAAGAGCGGCCGGGTGCAGTGGCTTACGCCTGTAATCCCAGCACTTTGGGAGGCCAAGGGGGGTGGATCACGAGGTCAGGAATTACTGGTGATCAGCCATGGTTTGCCAACATGGTGAAACCCCATATCTACTAAAAATACAAAAATTAGCTGGGTGTGGTGGCATGTACCTGTAATCCCAGCTATTCAGGAGGCTGAGGCAGAAGACATGCTTGAACGTGGGAGGTGGAGGTTGCAGTGAGCCGAGATCGCGCCACTGCATTCCAGCCTGGGCAACAGAGCAACACTCCATCTCAAAAAAAAAAAAAAAAAGAAGCAACACTATTAGGAAAGACTTACTCCTGCTACATTAGAACAAGGCAAGGATGATGGAAGATACAGAAAGCTTTCCTTTATCTAAGTTCCAGGCAGAACTAGATAGAACAGAAACCTGGAGCAGAGCTATTGCCAAAGCCCTGAGCTCAGGTTAAAGGAAACTGTCACCGTTCCATTTCTCCTTTGAGTTTCAAATTTGGTTTCCCAGTGTGCCACTGTAAAAGAGTCCAGTACTGGGGAGAAAACAAATTCCCAGCTCCCACAACTTACAACAATTGAAACTAGTTATTTAGGATTCCCAGAAAGGATTAAAAAAAAAAACTCATTTGTTTATCCTTGCAGGTCAGTTAGGTTAATAACCTCAATTGACCACCATGAATGAAAAAAGTTAAGGAAGAAGAAAACAAATATGGATTTTGCATTTATTGTTTTTGTCTTACCAATTGCAATTTGGGGGCCTTGAGGCAATTGTAGCTGATGGAGGTTAAACAAGGCAGATTGTTGGTTTACGGCCCATTCTTGGCAATTTGGAAGTAAACGATAACCAATATTTACTCAGGCTGCTAGTTATATATGCTTCCTCCTCCTCTCTATCAGATGACACAAAGTAGTGAGCACCACATGGAGAGTGCCCCAAAATTTACAAATCGTCACATATATCGTATCTCATCTAATACAACAACCAACAAGACTAAAGTGTTCTTTCATCATGTGACAAATGATAAAGGGAGAACTCAGGGAGTTACAAAAATTTCCCAGTGCTCACCAGGTAACTGGAAGAGGCTGGATTGTAACGCAGAGTTTCTGACACCAAGTGCCCTGAGCCACGTGTACTCATTTAATATCTTATCTCTCATTCTCCTTTCCTTTGCTCACATGTAAAGAGCTGAGCAGAAGAGGTTTTTGAATGTTGGGTTTTAGGAGGATTTGTGGATTTCAACTCTCCGTGTTCTTCCTATGCCCAGATTATTATCAATAACATAGAGTTGGCATTATATGATCTTTTGGGTCTCTGGAGAGAAAAACCAATAAGGAAATAAATAACCAATTTATTTCCAACAAATTGGTTGGAAATAAAACAAATATAGGCTTAGCATACATTTGGCAGGGTTGGGGAGGGGGTGGTGGGCAAGGAAAGTCTAATAGTCTTCTCTTTCTTGGTTCTGGAGCTAAGAGTATCAAATCTCCAGTGGGAAAGTCAAACCTACTTTCCAGTCAAATAATGAAGCCTTCCATGTTAACCCCTACACAAGAGGTGCAAAGAGAATGTATACAGGGATCCTTTTATGGATGTTCTGGAAAGACAACACCTGTTCTTTGGGCCCTAGTGCCTTTGGTTACACCCAGGTTTTAAGGGGATGAATATAAATCATTTTGGAAGATTAAAAGAAACCCAAAAATTATAATATTCTTTTGCCTCCCAAGAGAAACAATCTTCAGATAATTGGGATTTGATGAGAGTGGTGGAGCTATGCAAATCTTATGCCATTATGAGCATGCAATAATTCAGACTGTTAAAATTACGAAGCAATCCCTTTGCTGTGTGATTCAGAAGGCTCGGCTCCCTACCTTCAGATTAAAATGAAGACTGAAAGACTAAACTTCAACTATGTCTGAATGTCTGTGGGCTGTTTTCCCCACAACTAACAACATTATTTAAACTCCCAACTTTTAAACTGCTAAAACCATGGAAACATTAATAATGGCCCTCCTTCATTAAACCTCAACTTCCCCTCCCACTTGTACTTTTGACCAATTTATTCACTTCAAAGCAAGCAACAGCATCCTGTTCAGTTACTCAGTAGGACCTCTGTACCTTCACCCAACACCTTACACCAAAAGAACACCAAAACCCACAAAAAAAGTCATGATCTCTACACTCCTCCTAGTCTATTGAAGGCAATTATGTAACCTCAAAGTTTTTGCTTTTATTTTTTATTTTTTCAGTTGCCATGGGAAAGACTGTTTGGGCAGCTCCATCTGCACAGGGTAATTACTGGCCTCCCAAAACGCACTCACTCTCACACACACACACACACACATACACACACACACACACACACACACAAAACCTGCAATGATATAAAGAAAAGGTAAACATAATTTTAAACATTTTCAAAGAGGCCAAGAAGGCATTAAACAATCAATATATTACTTTGCTACTGGCAGAAATAAACAAAACAGCCATTTACTGTCAAGAAAACAGCATTTTCAGAGCTGAAGTAGTAATAATAGCAATTAATATTTCCTCAGAATTTAATATTTGTCAGGTACTGTGGACTAAGTATTTTACACAGATTATCTTAATAATCTCCATAAATATAAATCTACAATTCCCATTTTTACAGAAAATAAATGAGGTTAAGAGAGGCTGAGTCACTTGCACAGGGCTGATTAGTAGTGGAGCCAGGATTCAAACCCAAAGCCCACAGTCTTGGTGCTCTCACTGTGCCTCATGGTGCCTGCCTGCCCACAGCCTGTGTTATCATCACAGCTCGCTTCTGGTCTGGTCTAATGACCTGTTGAAGGAACTCAAATGATCACTCATCTCATCTACTGAAACTAAGAATAATTCAAAATATTTTGGGGTGTCAAAATGCATATGGCCAGCCTGAGCTGAGAACCTGTCTCTACAAAAAAAATAGATTTAAAAAATTAGCCAGGCACAGTATTGCATGCCTGTAGTCCCAGCTACTCAAGAAACTGAAGTGGGAGGATCACTTGAGCAGCTGGGAGATCAAGGCTGCAGTGAGCCATGATTGCACTGCTGTACTTCAGCATTCCAACGTGGGCGACAGAAAGAGACCCTGTCTTAAAAAAAAAAAAAAAGAAAAAAAATGCATTTGACCACAGGCTGCACCAGTAACAATGATCTTATTTCAGTATCTACGGTACAATATAAGTATGCATATGTGACATTCAAATACTGTGGCCTTTTCCATTTTCTTAATCAGTTTCAATTTCTCAGTGTTAACTCCTTAATTTAACACTTATCGATAAAAATGCTATCTGCTAATGTGTATTGTAACATTAATTTTGAGTTTTAGGAGATTTGTGAGTGTGGGGTAAGGAGAAGAGCTATTCAGCTCTCATCTATTTTATTTTATTTTATTTTATTTTATTTTATTTTATTATTCCCAAGAGAAGAAATATTTTTACTTTGGCTTCTTCATGAATTTAGGTAATTACTGAGATTCTTGCCATCTTTATATGCTGGATTTGATTCCCTGTGGTGGAAAATGCATACAGTTCCCAAAGAAATCTATGTTAATAGTATAGAGTTCAAATATTAAAAGAGATTAAGTGGTATCAGAAGCAAAGCCTTGGACCAGGCCACCAATCTCAATGGGTAGATCATTTAACAAGCCAACACATGCTAATAGAATCTTCTAAAGGGCTGGACACCTCTCACAAGGTCCCCCTACCCACCTTGACTCTGTTTATCAAGGGAGGAATCCCGACAGCATGGAGCCCCCAGGCCTCCCCTCCTCCATCAGCACAGCATGCCCGCAGTCACAAGCTGCCTGCGAGTTTGGTAAGACTCTGGCTCCAATCCCTTGGCCTCATCTGACCCGTCTTTCTGCCGTATCACTTATCTCCTGGAAAGGAACATGTTTCCAAGCTTCTTCCACATCAGCAGTAGGAAAGGAATTTGCAGTCTTTGAGTATTAAGTGACCTGGGTAGAAAAAAGTCTTAGAAGGGAGGTGAGACGGAGGGGTGGGGAAGTACAATGAGATACTTTTACTTTGCCAAATTCCCATCCCTTTTTGGCCGTAGGCAATGCCAGAAGAGAAAGCCAAAAGGAGGTAGGAGGGTAAGTGGAAACAGCTCCTCCTCTTCCCTTGCACTTCCTGGCTGGATATCTGTAAACATCTCTCTACCACCCTTCCCCAAGCAGGGAGCCTGGATATACACACACTTGCCTAACTGCTGGAGCCACACCATCCACATTAGCTACCTCTCTAAATCCCTGAGAAGCAGGTCAGGCACAGTGGCCAGGGTGGGGACAAGGTGGATCCACAGAAGGCCACCTGATGACCTTTCCATTAACAACCAGAGCTCTTGGTGCTGCCTCCCAGAGATGAGTAGGGGAGGTGTCTAGACAAAGAAGAAAATAAAAATGTTTTCTTCCTTCCCTTCCCTCAGTCATACTTTACATCTTCCTCTGGGCACTGCAGTAAAAAGAAGCAAGGAGGTGCACCTGGCCGGAGAGCAATCTCCAGGAAGCTAGATGAGCCATCCTGTGTGTGGGAATGAAAGGCAGACCAGAACAGAAAGCAGTGAGGTTGTGATTCCAAAATCCCAGCTCCCAAACCTGTGGCCAGAGCAGAGCCTGTAATTAAATGTGAACTTGCCAGTGGCTCTCTTAATACATGAGGCAAAAAGTTAATGTCTGATGGACTGGGGCCCATGCCAAACTCCAGCTCAGTTGCCTCCCCACAGGGGACTAGTTCAAAGAAATGAGATCTAGTGGTAGTGAACAAGCCAAGTAAGTTGCAGGGAGGCCCCAGCTCACAGGTCTGCCTTTGGACCCCCTCCTCTGGGCTTCCCTAATACTCTATGCACAGCTCCTCCCCAGGTACTCACAGCCATCATTCATCCTTTATTGATCTGTCCTGTCCATGAAGCAAAGTGGAGGGCTGCCCTTTTCTGGACTTTACGTGCTTGGTACCAAATACACTAGGTCTGCACTGTCTAATACAGTGGTCACTAGACACATGTGGCTCTTGAGTCCTTGAAATGTGATCAGTCCAAACTGAGATGTATCTCAAGTTTAAAACAGTGGATTTCACAGACTTACTATGAAAAATACAGTTAAATAGCTCATTAATTTTTATATTAATTAAATATTGAAATAATATTTTGGATATATTAGGTTAAATAAAGTGTGTTATTAAAATCAATTTCACCTAATTCTCTTCATTTTTTTTTTTTTAGCATGGCTACACATGTGGCTTATATTATATGTCTATTAGACAGTATTGTTCTGGGTATTCCATGAGGGAGGGAGGGAGGAAGGAAGGAAGCAAGGAAGGAAGAAGGAGGGGGAAGGAGAGGGAGGGAGGAAGGGAGGGGGGCGGGCAGGTGGGCAGGCAAGAGAGAGAAAGAGAGTGGGGAGAGGGATGAAGAAGGAACACCAAGAGAAAGAGAAAGTTGACTGGAGATCAGTATAAATGCTTTTAAATCAACATATAACAGAAATGGTTTTAAAGAAGTGAGGTTATTTTCAGAAATAATTTTTGTATCTGGAACTACATTTCATTCTGAATCATTTGCTGTGAGAAAATGCTTACTAATCATCCAGGACTCCTAAAGGATGAGAGAGCAACAGACTGTCGGCCAGGCCACATCACAGAGGCCAAACTGAATCTTCAGTCCTGTGGTAAAGACTCGGGAGAGCAGAAGGGAATTGTCACTTGGAGATAAAACAATGAATCTGGAAACCCCACAGTTTTCCAAACTTCTCTTTATCCTAAATGTAACAATTCCCTCAGTTCAGCTGATTAAATATATTCTTTAAAACTGTTTTTAAAAATGCACAACCTTCCACCAAACATTTAAAGAAGTAAGCCAGGCGCAGTGGCTCACACCTATAATCCCAGCACTTTGGGAAACTGAGGCAGGTGGATCACCTGAGGTCAGGTGTTTAAGACCAGCCTGGCCAACATGATGAAACCCTGTCTCTACTAAAAAAAATACAAAAAATAGCTGGGCATGGTGGCACATGCCTGTAATCCCAGCTACTTGGGAGGCTGAGGCAGGAGAATCACTTGAACCTGAGAGGCAGAGGTTGCAATGAGCTGAGATTGCACCATTGCACTCCAGCCTGGACAACAAGAGTGAAACTCCGTCTCAAAAAATAAAAATAAAAATAAAGAATTAACACCAATCTTTCTCAAACTCTTTCAAAATACTGAAGAAGATAAAACACGTTTTGTTTGTTTGTTTGTTTTTTGAGACTGAGTCTTACTCTGTTGCCCAGGCTGGAGTACAGTGGCGCAATCTTGGCTCACTGCAGCTTCTGCCTCCTGGGTTCGAGTGATTCTCCTGCCTCAGTAGCTGGGACTACCAATACACACCACCATGCCCAGCTGATTTTTGTATTTTTAGTAGAGATGGGGTTTCACCATGTTGGCCAGGCTGGTCTTGAACTCCTGACCTCAGGTGATCCATCCACCTCAGCCTTCCAAAGTCCTGGGATTACAGGCATGAGCCACTGCACCCGGCTGATAAAACACTTTTTAATTCATTCTATGAGGCCAGTATTACCGTGATAGCAAAGCCAGAAAAAGAAAGAAAACTATAGACCAATATCCCTTATAAACACTGATGTAAAAACTGTCAACAAAATACTAGCCATCTGAGTTCAGCAGAATATTAAAAGAATTATACACCACAACCAAATGAGATTTAGTCCCGAAATGCAAGGATGGTTTAACATAGAAAAATTGATATAATATATAATGTTAACAGAATGAAAGACTAAAACCACATGATCATCTCAATGTGGTTGATTCAGAAAAAGGACTTGACAAAATTCAATACCCTTTCATGTTGAAAATACTCAACATACTAGAAAGAAATCTACCTCAATATAATAAAATCCATATATGAAAAAACCCATAGCCAACATCATAATGGTGAAAGACTAAAAGCATTTACTCTAAGATCAGAAATAAGGCAAGGATGCCTGCTTTCACCACTTCTATTCAACATGGTACAAGAAGCTCTAGCCAGAGCAATTAGGCAAGAAAACGAAATAAAGGCCATCCAAATTGGAAAGGAAAAATAAAACTATTTCTGTTTGCAAATGATCTGATCTTATCTCCGAAAGATCCCCCGATCCCGCACTCAAAAAATTGTTAGAGATAATAAATTCAATAAAGTAGCAGGATACAAAGCCAACATATAAAAGTAAGTTGCATTTATATATACTAACAATGAACAATCTGAAAAGGAAATTACAAAAATGGTTCCATTTATAATAGCATCAAAAACAATGAAATACTTAGGAATTAATCAAGGAGTTAAGAGACTTGTACAATAAAAACTTTCTGAAAGAAATTTAAAAAGACATAAATACATAAAAACACATACCATGTTCATGAATTAGAAAACTTCATACCGTTAAGATATAAATACCACCCAAAGCAATCTGTAGATTCAATGCAATCTCTATCAAAATCCCAATGACAATTTTTGCAGAAATAGAAAAATCCATTCGAAAATCCATAGGGACTCTCAAAGGACCCTGAATAGCCAAAAACAATCTTGAAAAAGAACAAAGCTGAAGGATTCACACTTCCTGACTTCAAAACTTACTACAAAGCTACAGTGATCAAAACATGGTGATACTAGCATAAAGACAGAGAGATGCACCAGCAGAACAGAAAACCCAGAAATAAAACCTCACATATATGGTCAAATGATTTTTGACAAGGATGCCGAGACCACTCAATGGGAAGGGGCAACATTTTCAACAAATGGTGCCAGGAAAATGAAATGTCCACATGCGAAAGAATGAAGTCAGACTTTACATAACACCATATACAAAAATTAACTCAAAATGGAACAAAGACCTAAGCATAAGACCTAAATCTATAAATCTCCTAGGAGAAAATGGGACAAAAGCTTCATGTCATTGAATGTGGCAGTTATTTCTTGGATATGATGCCAAAGGCATAAGCAACAAAAGGAAAAGAATAGATAAATTAGACTTCATTTAAAAATTTTAAAATTTTGCACATCAAAAGACAACAGAGTAAAAAGGCCACCCACAGAATGGGAGAAAATATTTGCAAATCATATTTCTGATAAGGGATTCATATTCAGAATACACAAATAACACCTAAAAATTCAACAACAACAAAACAAACAACCTAAGAAACAGGCAAGGGAACTGAATAGATATTTCTCCAAAGAAGATATACAAATGGCCAATAAGCACATGAAAAGATGCTCAACATCACTAATCACTAAGGAAATGCAATCAAAACTTCGAGATACCATCTCACGCCCATTTGAATGACTACTATCGAAAAATCAGAAAATAAATGTTGGTGAAAAGGTGGAAGAACTGGAGCCCTTGTGCACTGTTGGTTGGAATGTAAAATGGTACAGCCATTGTGGAAAACGGTATGGTAGTTCCTCAAAAAATTAGAAATACGATTACCATATAATCCAGTAGTTCCACTCCTGAGTATGTACCCAAAAGAATTGAAGCAGGCTCTTGAAGGGATATGAGTACACCCATGTTCATAGCAGCACTATTCACAAATACTAAATGTGAAAGCCACACAAGTGTCTGTCGATGGATAAACGGATAAGCAAAAATGTGGTATATATTAATACATACAATTGAATATGATTCAGCCTTAAAAAGGAATGAAATTCTGATACATGCTACAACAGGGATGATCCTTGAAGGCTAATTATGCTAAGTGAAATGAGCCAGTCACAAAAGAACAAATACTATATGACCCTACTTATACGAGACACCAAAAGTAGTCAAATTCATAGAGACAGAAAGTAGAATGGTGGTTTCCAGTGGCTGTGATGGGAGGCAGGCATGGGGAGTCAGAGTTCAATGGGTACAGCGTTTCAGTCTGGAAAGATCAAAAGTTCAAGAGATGGAGTATGGTGATGGTTGCAAAAAATGTGGAAGTTTGTAATGTCACAGAACCATAAACGTATAAACAGTTAAGATGGTAAGTTCTGTAGCAGGTATATTTTACCACAATTTTAAAGAAAGAAGAAAAAGACAAGGAGGAGGGGGAGAGGGAGGAGGAAACAGAAAACGGGGAGAAAAGGAGGAGAAGGAGAGGAGAGGAGGAAAAACGAGGAGAAAATGTGAGAACAGTGAGAGGAAGGGGAAGGAGGTGAGGAGCCAGGGGATTAGAATGGGGGGATTAGAATGGCCTTGGGGTCATGAGAATGGGAATTCACACATGTACCTCTATGACTGCCTGGAAATGCTGACAGAGCAGAGCCACTGCTCGCTAAATGTCTCTATGACAATATTTTATCTTCCAATACTTGTACAACCTTTTCATTTTGCCACTTGAATTTGTAGGGAGATTCAAAAAATAGACTGAGGGTGAGTACACAAATGAAAAAAAGACAAGGAGAATGTGTGTGTACATGCTCTATTTTTTGTAAAAATTATAATTTATTTCCATCCACCATCCATATACTTAGCCCCAACCTGTCCTTACCTTGGCCAAAGTCAAGAACAACACCAAACTTAGTAACACTGAGAGCAAGCATATGCTTTCACATGCTATAAATGTTATTTCTAAACTGATTTAACAGGATAATAGTAACAATAGATATTGTGTGGCAGGTATCTTGCAATCTACTGTAAAAATTACAATTTTTTTACAGCAGTTTTGTATTATTAACGCCATTTCACAGATGAGACAATGGAGGCTAATAATTTTATCCAAGGACATAAGGTAGATGAGATTTGAAACCCAGGTCTGGTTGACTGCTGGTAGTAAGGGCATATTTTGTAAATCAAGGCCATCTAAACAGGAGGAATATTGACAAATGAGAAGAAACAGAAGCGTCAATGGAGGTAAGAGCAAACAGAAACTCACGAGCTAACCCGACTGCCAAGACATGATAACTGCACTGCACATAATGTCTGAAACCTAATGTGGGTTTTTTTGTTTGTTTGTTTGCGTTTTTTTTTTTTTAACACAGAGTCTACTCTGTAGCCCAGGCTGGAGTGCAGTGGCATGATCTCAGCTCACTGCAACCTCCACCTCCTGGGTTCAAGCGATTCTCCTGCCTTAGCCTGCCAAGTAACTGGGATTACAGGCACACACCACCATGCCCAGCTAATTTTTGTATTTTTAGTAGAGACGGGGTTTCACCATGTTGGCCAGGCTGGTCTTAAACTCCTGACCTCGTGATCCACCCGCTTCGGCCTCCCAAAGTGCTGGGATTACAGGCGTGAGCCACCGCGCCTGGCCAACTTAATGTTTTAGGAGGGCTGAATGCCGTGTCCCATGTCCCTTGGAAAGTCTTTTTTTTTTTTTTTAATCTCTAAATCTCAGCCTTATAAACAAGAATCAAAAGAAAACGACTCAACCTAAGAAAGAGAAATTCTGGTTGGGCAAGAACTTTAATAATCTGCCTTCCTACATGGTCCTTTTCTCTAAGTTATATATTAAAGAAGTTACACAGGAAGAAGAAAAAATCAGAGGGTAAACAGAAAATTACTCCAGCAAATGTATTGACCTCTAACGAAGGATAATTTCCTCAAAAGTATTTATGCTTTCTAAAGTATTACACTTTATGTAAAAGTAAAGCTGCAGTATAGAAAGCAACATCAGAGAATTTGATTCTTAACATACAGCTGTCAGGGATGGTTTACCTGAACCCACATTGCAATCCTAGAGTGTAAGAGCAACTTGGTGAAAGGGGACAGAAAACTCCCTGTGGAGCCGCAGACTCTGGAATCTATTATACCCATTTCCAATCTCACCTAGAAATCCAGAAAAAAAGTCACTTTCAGACACATTACAGGATTCAAACTTTGCTTTCTTACGAGAAGGTTAGAACTATATGCACACTTTGCCATTTGCTCTGCTCTTCCATTTACAAGGTTTTTTTTTGGTTTTTTTTTTTTTTTTTGGTTTTTTTTTTCCTCACACACTTCTACAGTTGACAACAAAGCGTTCTTACACACAACACTGCCCACCCTCTCATCTTTCTATATCCATTTTTAAGTGCCTGGAAAACACAAGAAGGGGAAACAAAGGGCAAATGCCAGTCTGTGACCTCTGTCTGGACTTAGCCAAGCGTGATGTGTGAATCAGGTGTGCGGAATGGAAGTTTCCATGGCAACGAGACTGCCAGGCAGGCAGGGACTTCACACAGGCTTTCTACCAAGGTAATAGAAACAATGAGGCCACCTGAGGGACCTCAGCAAAGAGGGAGGCGGCAAAGTTCAGAGATCTCCAGCGACGGCAAGGACCTGGGTCTGCACTGACTTATTCCACACCCACACCCCCCTGCTTTTGATTCTGTCCTGCCAGCTCCTTGAGATAATCTCTCATCTCTCTTTTTGGAGGGGAAGGGAGGGATAAATTAGAGAAGTAATCTCTAAAGAGAATTGCTTATGAGAAAAATGTAGAGGGGTCTACAAGAGAAGAGTTTTCTTTACGTAGAAAAAAAGCAGCTCTGTGAGTCCAAACATTCAGCCACTTGAGAAAACTCTGTCTGACAGAAGCACTTAACATTTTCTCTAAGGTTCTTTGCTTTACCTTGCAACGTGCTCTTTGAGAACCCAGACCCTAATGAAAAGATCCTGAGCTATATTTTTGTTTTATGGATGTTTAAAATTATATTTGCTATAGATAGATACTTTAAAATTATTCTAAACGTGTAGAAACATGTATGTTTTTAAAAGAGTTGGCTTTTTTAGTCACATGACTTGGAGATAAAGTACACAACTTTCATGAAATCGAAGTTTATCTTGGTTAGCTAATTGAAAGAAGGTAATCTGAACGCTAGGGCTATGATGATATTATGGCTTTTCAAGCCATTTTCCTGACTTGAGACACACAGATGTTAAAAAGAACCAGAACAAGGCTTGTGTATTTGGAACCAAATCATGGAAGACAGCAAATTCCGCTTCTCCCTTCTCCACCATTTTTAGCTTTGCTCTGGAAGAGGCCTTTGGATTCCTCCAGAATGCTACTGCAGAGACTGAAGAAGAGAAAAGCACCTTACGCTATCGCACCTTATGCTATTGCACCTTATGCTATCAGCTAATGTCTCTACTTTAACAGACTGCAATAACTGTTGCAACAGTGAGCCCATCCTTCCCACTGCACCAGAGGAATTCTTCTAGGCTGCAAATTTGATCAAGTCACTCTCAGGCTCCCAACCTTTCCAACAGTTCCTCACTGTGCTCTGGGCAGTGAAGATCTCTTAACCATGGTTTCCACAACTACACACGATCTGGCCTCGGTAGATTTAAGCTAAGGTGTCCTTAGCTTCATCTTCCACCATTCCCCAACTTGCCCTTCGCATTCCAGGCAAATTCAACTACTTTTAATTCCCCAAATGTACCATTCCTCTCTCTTGCCTCGCCTTTTATGTTACAGATTTCTGTAAAGAACATTTAAATCTTTCCTGGTACCTCAGCTCTGCTATCACTTCCTCTAGGAAGCCTTAGCCCCTGGCACAATTTCACCCTTAAAGTCCTTCCTAGGGGTAGCCATAGCACCCTGGGCATCTCCCTACAGCCCTTACCACATGAGACTGCAACTGCCGGCTTTGCCTTTCTGATCCCTATCCAACTGGAACAGAAAGCAAGAAAAGGGCCTTGTTTACCTTTGTCTTAACTTGGGACCCAGCGCTTAGTAGATGGTCAGACAAGATTTACCAAAAATGAATGAATGAACAGAAAAGCAGGCAAATGGCCTCTGGTGTGGCCTGGCTGACCACAAAGAGCGCCGACCACATCTGGGCCAGAGCCTCACAGTCCAGTTCTGCTGCTTACCAGTTTTGTGGCTTCAGGAAAGTTCCTTAGCCTCAAAGAACCTCAGATTCCTACTTGCAAATTGGTGTAACAGCACAGCCCAAGATTATCACATGCATCCAATGAGATAGTGTTTGAAAAATTCTTTGAGAAAAAAAAAATTTTTTTTTTTTTTGAGACACAGTCTCACTCTGTCGCCCAGGCTACAGTGCAGTAAAGATCTTGGCTCAGTGCAACCTCAGCCTCCCGGGTTCAAGCGATTCTCCTGCCTCAGCCTCCCAAGTAGCTGGGACTACAGGTGTGCACCACCATGTCTGGCTAATTTTTGTATTTTTAGTAGAGATGGGGGTTTCATCATGTTGACCACAATGGTCTCGAACTCCTGACCTCAGGTGATCCGCCCACCTCAGGATTACAGGCATGAGCCACTGCATCCTGCCACTCTTTGAGAAAATTTTAATAAGTCTCTACATAGCAGCTCTTCCCAGTGGGAGGCTAAACAGGAGGGAGAAGAGAGAAGCTGGCATGGCTGCCACAGGGGCAGCAGCAGTCCTGAGGAAAACCACTCAGCAGGATCCAGCAAGCAGCTGTAGAAATTCATGGTCGGTGGCCATGCATAGCACCCATTGACTTCCTTCTAAGAAATAACTATGTCCTCCTCTTGCCCACCTAGACATCCTTGTTATATACCATTTCCCATGTATATACCCCATTCATTTCTACCAAGCATTATTACTAATAATAAAGGTTTTAGGGCTTTTGTTTACTCTCATTCCAATTGTTAAGTGCCCTCTCTTTCCTCATGCCCCATCTAGATCCTACCCATCCTCCTATATCTATAATAAATCTCCTCTGTACCTATAAAGCTGTCCTTGAGTCAATCAGCTCATACCCACTGTCTCCTTCTGATCTCCTAGTGCATTAGGGCCCATATTTCACTATTCCACACTTTATTCTTTAAGTATTTCACACATATATTTAATACCAGCTCCCCCTTCCTAAATGTGGGAGGATCTCACACAATCAGAGGAGCCAAGTCTAGAGAACTCGACCGTGGGTAAGTCTGGGTTATAAAGCATGGAGATTTGGCAGAGAAGGTGAGAGGCAAGAAGTGTGTAAGTCAGCAAATAACATTGATGAAGCCACCAAGAAAACAAAAATATACAATGAGGAAATTAGCTGCCTAACAGTTTCTGATGACATCAAGATTCTCCGTAGAAATGCAAATCTATCAGATACCAACTTATACCAGTCAGAATGGCTATTATTAAAAAGACAAAAAAGAAATGCTAGTGAGGCTGCAGAGAAAAAGGAACACTAATACACTGATGGTGAGAATGTAAATTAATTCAGCCACTATGGACAGCAATTTGGTGATTTCACGAAGAATTTAAAACAGAATTACCATTTGACCCAGCAGTCCCATTACTGGGTATAGACCCAAAGGAATAAGGAACATAAATCATTTCACCAAAAAGACACATGCACTTATATGGTCATCTCAGTGCTGTTCACAATAGTAAAGCCATGGAATCAACCTAGGAGCCTGTCAATAGTGGATTGGATAAAGAAAATATGGTACATATATACCATGGAATACTATGCAGCCATAAAAAAAGGAATGAAACCATATCCTTTGCAGCAGTATGGATGCAGCTGGAGGCCATTATCATCATCAAATTAACATAGTAACAGAAAACCAAATACTGCATGTTCTCATTTATAAGTGAGAGCTAAACATTGAGTATACATGGACATAAAGATGAGAACAATAGACACCACAGACTTTCTAGAGTTGGTGGTGGGGGTGGGAGTGGGAGGAGTGAGGAGACACGGACTAAAAAACTACCTATTAGGTACTGTGTTCACTATCTGGTGGCAGGATCGTCCATACCCCAAATCTCAGCAGCACACAATATACCCATATAGCAAACCTCCACATGTACCTCCTGAATCTAAAATAAAAGTTGAAATTATTTAAAAAAAAAAAAAAAAAGATTCTCTGGTAGTTGAACATGGCATATTATAAAGAAGGCATAGGATAATGTTTCAAAGGGAAGAGAGCAAGTAGGGAACATGGCTTCCAGTGTGAGTGTACCAAGTGATTCTTTATACTGAGTAAGAAAACCAACAATAGGCCGGACACAGTGGTTCATGTTGTAATCCCAGCACTTTGGGAGGCCAAGGCAGGAGGATCACATGAGCTCAGGAGTTCGAGATGAGCCTGGGCAAGATAACAAAACCTCATCTCTACTAAAAATGAAAACAAATTAGCTGGGCGTGGTCATGCATGCCTTGTAGTCTCAGCTACTAAGGAGGCTGAGGTGGGAGGATCACTTGAGCCGAGGAGATGGAGGCTGTAGTAAGCTATGACCATGCCATTGTACTCTAGCCTGAGTGACAGAACAAGAACTTGTCTCCAAAAAAAAAAAAAAAAAAAAAAGGCCAGGTGCAGTGGCTCATGCCTGTAATCCCAGCACTTTGGGAGGCCAAGGTGGGTGGATCACCTGAGGTCAGGAGTTCCAGACCAGCCTAGATAACATGGTGAAACCCTGTCTCTACTAAAAATACAAAATTAGCCAGGCGTGGTAGTGCATGCATAATCCCAGCTACTCATGAGGCTGAGGCAGGAGAATCATTTGAATCCAGGAAGCAGAGGTCGCAGTGAGCCAAGATCATGCCATTGCACTCCAGCCTGGGCAAAAAGAGTTAAATTCTGTCAAAAAAAAAAAAAAAGAAGAAGAAGGAAGCGGGGAGGGGAGGGGCAGAAGGCAAAAAGAAATAAGATGGAAAAAGTAAAGTATCACGAGAGTGATCGGTCAACAACATATTGCTAAGTGTCTAGTTGTCCCATACATGGAGCACTGTCCTAAGTATTTTTGGGCGGTGCCCAAGGTGAGGATAAGGCTTACAGAGAAATGAGAGCGATAGCATCTGTGCTTACAAGGACCTGGCAGCCTATACAGGGTGACAAAACATACACACATGAAGGTATAACTAAAGATATAAATTAGTGTGCAAAAAGTGCAAAATGAGCACTGAAAACAGAGCAAGGACAGATCACCACATGCTGAAGTGAAGGAAGGTTGTATGAAAGAGGTGGCATACCAGCTCTGTCTTAAAAGAGAAAGAAGAATCCACGATAACATGTCAAGGGAAACACACACACAGAGCTGCAAGTGGAATTTGCCAGGTATAGTTGTCTTCCCTTATCCACGGGGGATATGGTCCAAGACTCCCAGTAAATGCCTGAAACAGAAACATAGTACCAACCCCTATGCCATATGCACTATGTTTTTTCCATTTGATGGCTAGATGGCTACCAAATGACTAATGGACAGGCAGTGTATACAGTGGCTACTCTGGCAAAGGGATAATTCACATCCAGAGCAGGAACGGCATGGGAAGGCATGAGATTGCATCACATTATTCAGGATGGCACACAATTTAATCCTTACAAATTGTCTATTTCTGAAATTTTCCATTTAGTATTTTCAGACCACAGTTGACCGCAGGTAATAGAAATCACCGAAAGCAAAACTGTGCATAAGGGGAAAAGTGGAGAAATCCAGATGAAGCAAGACTTGGTTGGGATCATGGCAGGAAGTGAGCTTGGAAAAGTATTCTGGGGAAAAGACCGTGGAGAAGTGGAGAGATAAGACTGAGAAGCAAAGAAATTTCAAGGGCATTTCAGAGGGAGAAAAATTAAGAGAAGATTAAAAAAAAATAAGGGAAAGGAAAGAAAAATGATGTTACAAAGCATTTATCACTAGATAAAAATTAGATTTTATGTCTGTATGTATAAAAAAGGAAGTAAGTCAAACAAGAGTTAACAACCTGAATAAATAAGAAGTCACACTAATCTATACAGTCATCATTAAAATCCCAGTAGAAATACAGAAAAGGCGCTTGTAGAGAATTTACAGCAGCCAATAAGTAAACAACCAATAAAACATAACAATAAAAGTTCCAATAAAACAAATAATTCACAAAGAATGAAAGTTAAAGTAACAAATAAAGTATTATTTTTCATGTTAGATGAAGGAGGTCTTAAAAGTGGGTCAGTATTGTCTCAGGTAAGAAAGATGAGCAATCTGAAATGTTAGAGTTCAAGGCATACAACTTTTCTGCGAAGTGATTTAGCAATGTGCAAAGGAGGCCTTAAAAAGACACAATAATTCTTATATAGAAACATAACTTGATAAAATAATCAGGAATCCAGAAAAACTATTCACACTCAAAGATCCTCTTTACAGCATTTCTTAACCTAACCCATAGATCACTACCAACGTAATTAGTGAAGAAGAAAACCCATAGGGAAATGGTAAAATGAATTGTGATAGAGTCCTACCAAGAATTACAATGTAACCATTAAATAACATGTTTATTGTTATAGAGAGAAGTGAAGAATCTAAAATGTATGTGCAGTGTGATTCCACTTATATAAAAAATACATATAGACATAAGCACATAGAAACACATTCTAAAAGGAAATACATTCAAATTACCTCTAGATTATATGATTGCAGGTTATTTTTATTTTTTTCTGGAGGTCTTTCTGTATTTTTCCAAATTTTCTATACTAAGTATGACTTACTATATAGTTAAAAATTATATTTGGATATTGAAAAATGAAATAACTATTTTATTTGCAAATATTGTTTGGAGATAACTGTGCAGGGAAAGTGAAAATACCTGTACTCAGCTGCTTAGCAATAGAGCCCTAATTCCCCAGATAAAAGCATATTTCCCCTCTAAATCCTGTGACAATGTATGACAGTAAAGATGATGTACAGGATTTTTCCCTCCACATTTTATTGTCCGCAAAAAATTACTTCTGGAAGTTCTTTCATCATTGTTTCCTCAGTAGGAAGGTATATTTATAAGAAGAGTAAATTTCAACTCTGTTTTGGGTCTTGATTTTTCCAAAAGGCCTACACTTCACAGAATATACAACTCCACCCTCCTCTCTCCTTCTCAGTCTCCATTTCTGTCTGCCTCTCTCTGCCTTGATCTGCGTGTGTGTTTCTCTGTTTCCATGTGTGTCTGTCTCTCTCTTGTAATGTACAGGCTTTTCCTAAAGATTGCTCTCAGATCAGAATAGCAGTGTTTTCTTTGACTTCTTCTGTACTTTATGTAATGTTGAGAATAGCACCCTCTGTTCAAAAACAATTTAAAAGTTTCAAAAAGACAATTCAATTTTAGTTGTACATTTAGGATATTTACAAGCACCACAGGAAACAACTGCATATGTGATATCATACAAAAAAGGCTAAACCAGTATGTCAGAAGTCCACATTGATACTCATTTCAGATGACATGTGAGGAACTGCTTTCTCAGAGCAAATACTCAGTCCATGCTGGGACTGGGGCAGTAAGTAGAAGCTGGCAACAGCCCATCACTGCAAAGAGGGAAAAAAACGTGGTGGTAACTCCAAATGAAAGAGAGAAGCTTGACATTTTTCTATTACCAAACCAGGCAATTAAAACATTAAATGTGAAATCTGAAGCACTGTAAATTTCCTAATATGGTAGAAGTGCTGAGTTTCCCAAATGATGTTTTCTCATCTTTCAACATATCAAAGAGCATGCCAAAACCCCGAAGAAACATTTCCATTTTGAAAACAAAAATAAACCACACACATCCACATTCTATTAATAGTGTTGTCTTGCCTTAGAGACCCTGTGTCCTTAGTCAAAAACCCCACTTCAGTTTACATACATTTTAACATTAATGAAAACTCCTGTCCAAAGTAAACTGGACATGTGTAGGTGAATTAGGTGGGACTGGGGCAAAAGTAATCAAATCCCTTTTTTATTTTCCTTACTGGAGACCAAATGTTATGTTCTTCATCGTCACAGCTAAGGACTTTGTAAATATGTTCTACCTCTTTAGCAGCATTTCTTAAGAGAGGAAAGTTGGCATAAGATATGCAGGTTCAAGCCAACTCCAGACATTTAGAGGGATCGCAGGATAGAGGGACATGGGCTTACAACTGGAAATCCCAGCAGAAATTGCCAGGTGAAGCAAAGCACACGTCAAAGATCTCCAAATCCAGACTCTATACTCTTGATCCTGCCGCCACGAAAAAGAAAAAAGCTGTCCCATGGCATTTTATGTCCAAAAACAGGGAAAAGCCATTTAATATGATGCCTTCTTCCTCCATTCAAACGCCCATGAGCTGCTACCAATGTGCTCAGCAGAGAGTCAACTGCTTGGGTGAGTACAACAGGAAGTGTGTGACATCGAGGCTGCTCATTAGATGCTTCTATTTTTGAGTAAAGAAAAGAACCAACACATCAAATAACTATAAGAAAGAACAAAAGATCATTTATTCCAGCCCAAAAAATTGACCATGCAACTAAAATGGTTAGTTCAACCCCACAGTGGTTTGGGGGAAAGAAGCTATTATCACCTGCCTGCACAGAAGATGTTAAATGTTTAAGCTCTGAGTCCTGGCCCTACGATGTCTCTACAAGAGCAAGGAAAAGGGAAAACTAGACTGATACAGCAACCACCCCTGATCAGGTAAGGTGGGGAGGAATGGAGAGAATTGACTCCAAGGTACCACCTCAAATGTAGCTAGGAAGAAAAGAAAGTATGGTGCTATGGTAAGGTAAAAATATCGTATCTCTATTTTTATTTTTTGAGACAGGTTCTCACTCTGTTACCCCAGGCTAGAGTGCAGTGGCACAATCACAGCTCACTGCAAGCTCCACCTCCCAGCCTCAAGCCATCCTCCCACCTCAGCCTCCCAAGTTGCTGGAACTACAGGGGGGCATCACTATGCCTGGATAATGTTTGTATTTTTTGTAGAGATGAGGTTTCACCATGTTCCCCAGGCAAAAATCATCTCTTTTAAGCCAACAGACCCAGATTCAAATCCTGCCCCAGCTACTTGCTAGTTGAACTGGGCAAGTGGATTAACTTCTGTTTTCCATTCCTTTCATGTAACACTTATCTATCACTGCATGCCAGGCACGCTTCTAAGTACTTTACAATTTAATCCCAACAACAAACAATTGAGGTTAGTTCTGATATTATCCCCACTTTACAAATGGAGAAACTGAGGCACCAAGTAGTCCTATACCTCGAAAGTGGCCAAGTTATCATTTGAATCCTGGCAAAATCATTGATTTCGGCGGTCTGGCTCCAAAATCCCATCTCTGAAGCTCTACATTGCCATATTTATAAAAGACTTACTTTTCAGTGAAATATATGTACAGTACCCAGCACAGTGCCTGACATTTTGCAGAAGTTGAATAATTTACCTCCCTTCCCTCACTTCTCCCTATTCTCTCTCCCCACACTGTGGGAGGCTGGAGGCAAGATTCTGCACACACAGAAAGGCAACTACGCCAATCCGCAAAGGCCCAGGGGCTCTAGGGCAAGCTAGAAAACAACCCTCTGTCTTAATCCCCTGACGCCTGGAACAAGAGCTCTAACTCAAACAGAGATGTCCGGCATTTCCAGCCAGAGACTGCCTCTATTTATTACAATCTGCATTCAAGGCACAAGGGCTGCAGACAAGCCTTAGGGAAACTGAAAGGTTTGTGATTTTTGCACTAGCAGCTGTATACATATATGTCTAACACAAACACAACACCCCCCCACCCACGTCTAAAACTTATATTGTTCCTACCAGAGGGAAAAATGATCTACTTTCCAGAACCTTCCATTTCCTAGAAGTTGGCAGAGTTTCTGTATCAGGCTGCGGCTTCTTTAGGACAGCCTGTATATTTCTGGGGAGCTAAAGGATGGAGTCTCTTTTGAAAATTAGTAAGAACAAATTAGGCCCAGTGGCCCAGGGGAGCTGTGTTGTAAAACATGAGAAAACTTTGTTTTCCAACTCTTTGGCAGTATTTTCATAAACTGATGACAATGAAAGGACAGAGATTATTTTTGTACATTGATATTATTCTAAAATATCATGGAGAAAGGTGTGAATGTTATCAGTTAAATGATTTAGTTGGGTAAATAGTGACTGCACAAAATAGAGGATTTATATCACTGGATTTTTCTAAGTACGCAATGAGGACATGTTGCTAATTATAAGAAGTTCACACATGCTACCACATAAGAATGCTTTCTACACAATCTTTCTCTTTCTCCTTAATTAATAAAAAGACCTATGTTACGCTACGGGAACATAAGAAAATTATTATGCGAAAAAAAATCACTATAATCAAGCATTGAAACTATCACTATCACACTGACCCTGAGAATTTGCTAACGTAGTTTAAAAGTAATTAAGAAGGAAAGCTAGCCTTCTACATTTTCAGTCTCGGTCACTGTGGCTACTGGGTTCATCGATGATTGCCAAATCTTGCAAAACTACAGTCCTCTTATCCATGTGGTTTTTAAAACTATAAGCTTCTATTGTGAATAAGCTTGATTTTCTGCTTTAGAAATCCATCAACTGCCAGTCTGTTCTCACGGCATATTGCTAAGAGAGACTCCACAAAGAGCCCAGGTGCATACACCATGAATCAAGTTCTTCATACATTTTAATTACAGTTTATCACAAGTGGGAGAGGTAAGTGAAGAAGGCTTCTTCATAAAATGTTCATTAGAAATGGCAATTTTCCATAGGGGAAACAAAGATGGCATCCTTCAACTTGTTAATCTGAAAAAGTCCCCAGATGTGAATTGTGCCTCTGTAAAAATCATATGCAAACCACATTTAGGCCTGTGGCTCAGCCCAAAACTTTTGAAGAGGGGAGTAAGGGACAAGGAAGGAAACGGAGTGAGCAGTGAAAGAGGAAGATGAAGTTTCTCAGACTTTGTGGACATGTACAAAACAGTTCTTTCTACTTACTATTTAAGCTATTACCCCCTTGCAGGGGGGAGGTTTGTTATCTCCTTAGCCATTTCAAAAGCCTTGGGAGGGAGCAAGCCAGTAAGGGAGTTTTTCTGTGTGTGTCTGTGAGTCAGCAGAAGCCGGAAGCCTTACAAAAAGACTTCAAACAACAAGCTGGAGAGCAGGACAATAGCTTCCACCTCCAGACAGTGAGAAATTGCATTATCCTGAGGGATCACGGCCACCCATGCTCAATGGAGATAAGTAAGAACATTCTCTGCTCTGGCCAATAGGAGATCTGCAGCTACAGCTGCTCACAGAAGCTCTGGGTGGCCTCCATTCCAGCGGCTCCAAAAGGTTTCAAGGCACAAAAACACTGCTGCCGGGTGGTGCTCCCAAGTGCAGGGGGTGGAGGGGAGAGGCTGACGAAGACGAGGGTGGCAAGCTGCATCCCCCCACCAGGTGCTCCAAATCCCCTCTCCCAGCTCAGGGAAATCACAAAGAGGTCTCCAGGCGGATTCCAGCCAGGCGGCTGGTGCAGAGCCTGTGCCTCACCACCACCCACAGCAATGAATGGAAACTGCCCCAGAGACTCCAGAAAGTGGGGAGAAATTCCCTGCTGAGCAGTTCAGTGCTCTAGGAGCAATAGTGTAATTAATGGCACTTACTGAAAGAGCGGGGCATTCCAAATTCAGCCACAAGGAAGAAAGACGCCTTACCACACACCCTACACAGCAGGCACAAAGCCCCTTGTCATGTTCCCTTTAGAGACTCAGGCAAATCTGATCAGGAACTGACATTCGCAGTACAGTTTTACATTTACCAAAAGGCATTAACTGTCCCCTGAGAGAAGAAAAAAATCTTCACATTTGACGGAAAGTTATGTGAAAGTTACAGTATGAGCTCACTTTGAGGATACCATAAGTCACATAGAGGAATTACCTGAGTAAAAACATTTATTTCACTTATTAATAGTATCTGATATCCAGTTTTATAGTACTTCTTATGTTTCCCATTGTCATAGGTTATATATATATGTTTTTAATTTATTTTGAGACAGGGTCTTGTTCTGTTGCCCAGGCTGGAGTGCAGTGGTGAGATCACAGCTCACTGCAGCCTCCAACTCCCAGGCTTAAGCAATCCTCCCACATCAGCCTCCCAAGTAGCTGAGACCACAGGCATGTGCCACCACACCCTGCTAATTTTTTTAATTTTTTTTGTAGAGACAGAGTCTCACTATATTGCCCATGTCGGTTATATTTTTAAATCTTTCCTTGCCTACAGCTAATATCTACATAGTATGTTTGATTGACAAGAAAAAAAAAAAACTAGTTGGAAAGTATCAGATATGCTGCTAATACAGAAATCTCATATTTGCATATAGTCCCCAGACCAAACAACCCCTCTGCAGAACCTAATGTTGTACAGAAACTCTTTTTAAAGAAAGAGTATATATTTTTATTTTCTTTATTTACATATATACATACACACATAAAAAGAGAGACACACTTATGAGTGTGTGTGACCGTGACAAGCAAGAAGGGATTCTAGAAGGATGCAGAAGATGGGAAAGGTAGTACTAGAACTGGAGCACTGCTACCACCTGAATGCTGACAATAACATTTCATGCAAAACCAAAATGGATGGAGGTTTTAAAAATTAAAATTAACTTGTCTGGCAACTAGTGCATTGAAGTGGAGGTTGAAAGACTAGGGAGACCTTTTCCACTCAGCCCTTGATTTGCTGTGGGGCCTACATCAAGTTGTGCTATGCCTCTGTTATAACGTCTGCAAAATGGAGATAACACTTCCTGCTACCTACCTCAGAGAGCTGTTAGAAGATTAGATACCGAAAAAGAAAATCCTCAAAGCCCTTTAAGTTTCTCATACATATAAGACATGCAATGTAATAAAACACCCGTACTCTCTACAAAAGCCCTGAGAGACTCACGGCTATAGAAATAGGAAACAGACGCCAGCTGTACAGCATGGATGCATTCACAATCAGGGAGGCTGGCTGCAGATTCCAGTGACAAGGCAGGGAAAATAACTCTGACATTCACATGTACTCAGACAAAACACCCAGGAAAAGGGAGGAAAATAGTATTGTTTCAGTAGAGCACCAGTAAGTGAAAAGAAGCAATCTTCACAGATAACATTCCTAATTCCTGCTTAAAAGTCTGGATCTACAAGAAGACAATCAAGTGACAACATTACACTGGTAGCCTTTAAGGTTTAGAAAAATCTCATATTAAAGTAAATTGGGCCAAGTAGAGTGGCTCACGCCTGTAATCCTAGCACTTTGGGAAGCTGAGATGGGAGGACCACTTGAGCCCAGTTTGAGACCAGCCTGGGCAACACAAGGATACCCCTATCTCTACAAACAATAACAATTTTAAAAATTAGCCAAGCATGGTGGCACACACCTGTGGTGCCAGCTACTCGGGAGGCTGAGGTGGGAGGATTGCTTGAGTGCAGGAGGTCAAGTCTGCAGTGAGCTGTGATCAAGCCACTGCACTCCAGCCTGGATGACAGAGCAAGCCTCTGTCTCAAAAATAAAATAAAATAAGTAAATTGGCTCTCTAGAGGGGTAAGGGTAATAACCCCCACACTGAACAAAATGTAAAGAAGAGAATGCATAAATTACAGTATTTTAAATTAATTTATACTGGAAACAAAAGCCATGCTTGACTGTACATAGCCATCTAAGGAAAATAATTACTCTTGGGTCCATAAGGAAATTGGGAGAAAAGTATTAAATGTTCATCTATTCTAAGATATTCTGAATTATGAAAAGTTTAAAATTCAAATTAATCAATTAATTAAACACATATTATTATTATATCAAGGATGTATTGTGAGTTCCATGTCAGGTTAAAATTAAAAAAGATGAATAATATCCTTTTCCTGGTTCTCATGAACCTCAAAGTCCAGCAAGGAGAGACAGAGACAAAATAAAGTATAACACAATGTGGGAAGGGTTTGAGTCAAGTATAAACAGAGTGCTAAGGAAGAACAGAGGGAAGATGTAATTGATTCTGTATGGAAAAGAGGAGGGGGAGGGGCTTAGGAAAGTCTCAGAGAATTTGACACTTAAACAAGACCTTGCAAAATGTACAATATTTCACCCAATATAGAGCAAGGGGAAGGGGCATTTTAGATAAATAAATGGCAGCCCACATCTCAAGGCATGTCTACATATGTCCGAGTTAAGTGTCACACAACGCAGACAGCCCGGAAGGGCCTGGATTGCAAGGTCTTTGTGAGGAAGGAGGCATCACAGGACGAGATTTTTGAAAAGAGACTTGGTATTTTCTACAACTCAATAAAAGAGAAGGAGGCAAGTGTACAGGAAGAGAAGCAGCAGGAACAGGAGGTAGCCCTGGCCCCTGGGCCTGAGACAGACCTTGGGGAAACCGACAGCATTGCTAAGGCCAGTTCTGTAGGTAGAGGTGAGGAAGACAAAGAGGCAGAGAAGCAGGAAGGCATAGTGCACTGAACCATGACTCAGAAATGGTCAAGAGTGGGACTTCCAGGAGAAGTAGCAGGCCCAACCTAGATGGACAGTGTAGTACACAGAATAATGGCCACCAATATATCAGGTCCTAATCTCTGGGACCTGTAAATGTTACCTTCTATGCAAAGACTTTGCAGATGTGATGAAATTAAAGATCTTGAGATGGGGGGATTATTTTGAATTATCTAGTTGGGCCTTAAATGTCATTACATGTATGCTTCTAAGAGGGAAGCAGAGGCAGATTTGACTACAGATGGAAGACAGGAAGGCAATGTGGCCGTGGAGGGGGCAGATATTGGAGTGATGAGGCCACAAGCCAAGGGATGTCAGCAGTTTCCAGAAGCTGGAAGAGAGAAGGAACAGATTCTCCCCCAGAGCCTCTGGCAGGAGCTCAGCCCTGTCAAAACCTAAATGTCTGTTGTTTTAAGGTGCCAAGTTTGTGGTAATTTGCTACAGCAGCCAGAGGAAATTAATACACACAGTGAACAAAGAGTCACCCCCAGCTGTTCTTAGATGCCACCATCACCAGTCTTGATAAGAATCATTCAGACCAAGGGCAGTGACTCACGCCTATAATCCCAGCACTTTGGGAGGCCAAGGTGGGAGGGTAGCTTGAGGCCAGGAGTTTGAGACCACCTTGGGCAGCAAAGCGAGACCTCATCTCAACAAAAAATAAAAATTAGCCAGGTATGGTGGTACACGCCTATAGTCCCAGCTACTTAGGAGGCTGAAGGAGGAGGACTGTTGGAGCCCAGGAGTTCCAGCCTGCAGTGAGCTATGATTTTACCACTGTGCTCCAGCCTGGGCAACAGAACAAGACCCCATCTTAAAAAAAAAAAAAAAAGAAGAAGAATTCAGATGGAAGGCACTCCAACTCTCAAGAATAAATTGAAGTCTAAGCTGCCACGTTAGAGGAAGACAAGATTATTAACCTTAGTAACTAGTCAAAATTTAGGAACAGAAACCCAGGTATAATCCTAGACTAGGTTAATACAAGGTGGCTGGAAGAACTATAAATAGAAGCCACCAAATGACAACATGTTGGGGAAGGAAAGTGGGTCTGAATAGTAGTGGGAACAACAGGAAAGACACAGCAACCCAGAGGTCATTACTGGGCCACCAAATTTCTGGTAGGATAGTCATTTTAATTTTAAGTGCCCATTGGATAGGGGAAGAGATGAGGGGAGAATGGAAAACGTTTACATGTACTATGTCTCAATCAGCACTGATTCAGAAACTGGACCAGAACTAGACCACCAAATCAAAGACATCAGGGAATACAGGTGTGGGAAGATTATGGCAAAGAGAAAGATGGGGCATGAAATGCTGAAAATCTTGAAATACACTCTTCAGTCAATAACAAAAGTAACATAAGGAGATCCACCTGAGAAGGGTGGGAGCAGTAGGGACTGTCCATGATAGACTAGATAGCCCAGTAAGAAGGTGACTGAACCAGCCAGGGCCGGAGATGGTCAGGGCCAAATAGGAGAATGGGGAAATGGGGGTGAATTAGAGAAATATTTGGAAGGCATGGCAAACTGCTTGAATAGGGAATGAGTGACTGGGGAGCAGGGGACAGCAGAGAAATGAGAACAACGATCTTTGAAGCACAAAACTCAAAGGAAAAAGTGTTAAAACAGACAGAATGAGTTTGTCTCTGGCTCTATTGAGTTTTGTGTGTGGGTGGGTCATGCCAGGAGTGACACGTAGAGAGCATTGGGATCTGAAACCAGAAGAATGTCATAAATGTTTGAACGTTTGAAAAAGTTATCTGTACTGTACTCTTTCATCTTTTTTCTGATTCATCACTATGAAAGGACCCAATGAAGGTTCCTACAATTTTGATATCCTAAAAACAAAATGTTTGAACTATACTCATATTACCTACTTACAAGAAAAACCTCACATCTCCAGCACTTTAAAGTAAATGCATTAAAATTTTTCTAAGAGGGACAAAAAATTCTTACCATTAGCCACTTCCTTCTTCTGTCTGTTTGTTTTGAGGACATCTGGTGAAACAGACAATGGAGAACAGCCATCCATGGGTCGGGGGGAATTGAGAAGGATGTTCAGTAGTAACCCAGGGATGACTTGGTGACGGAAAAGAAGGCACACATTTTAAATCTGCAGAGGACATCAAATTAGATGTGGTTGAGCAGTAAATGCAGATCCTATAAAGAGGAAAAAAAGACCAATATGTTCACTGATATGAACTACCTGGGTAAAAAGGATAAGGAAAAAAAAATTAATGAAGATACAGGTTTATCTGGGGAAGAAAATGTATGTTAATCAGATGTGAAAATGACTCATTTTTGCTTACAGCTATAGATTCTATATCCCCTTTTACCAAAGAGCTTAGGTGTAGAGTGGTGCCCTACTGGAGAATGCAGGCAGCTCCCCGCTCTTGCCTGCGATTTTTCACGGCTGGTACTAGCTGAAACATGGAAATGGCTTAGAGGGAGCAGCGTGTGACATTCTGGATTAGATAGTTGGTACGCATGACAATGTGGGAAGGCAGCACAGTGTAATTCAATGATGCAAAGGATGATGATATAATCCCCATCCTTAAGCAATTGTGTGTGTTAAGATAAATAAGGTTCTTGGCCCAATAACAAAGACCATGGCAATGCAGAGGTGACCAGAAAACAGCACCTTTATCCTAGTCAGCTGTTGCATTTAAAAACAAATATATTCACAGTGAGGAAATAAAAGACCTAGGAAAATATGTAAATAAACAAGTAAACATATGCGCAAATAGAAGCCTTATTTTTTATGACCTATTATTGGAAACACATTTTGGTTGTCTCCAATTAAACTTTGAAACTCATGAGAAGTCCTGACCACATACTGCTATTCTGGAATAGAGGACAGCATCATCAAAAACCCCAAATGTGCCCAGCAATGAAAGACACTGCCTTACATTTGCACAGTCCTTCTATGAATGCTGCCTCATATGCCATCTCATTGGATCCCAAGTAGAGCAGTGTATGTGTTGACTTCCCCAAGTTTTGGGAGAGGATTACTCCACATTCTCTTATTTAGTACCTACTATGGTATATAAATCATACTGAGGGACACAGAAACCTAATATTAATAATACCTGCCCTTAGGGAGTTATCAAAATGGACAGGTAACATGTGTTCACCCAAGGCAAGAAATGAGAGATAAAGAAAGTGCAGGTTCTGAGTCTCCTAGTGAAGAGGTATAGATGAAGGAGAACAGGAAGACTTGAGCTGAAGCTTGAAGGATGGCAGAGAGATACCTGAGTGGAAACAGAGTGAAGGAGATTCTAAAGCATTCAAATAAAGGAAGAATGGGCCTGGTGTGATGGTAGTTTTGACACTAAACACAAAAAGGAAATTCCTGCTGCAGAGTAGAAGATGCTGAGAACAAATTAGGAGCAGGGCCAAATGAAGACAAACTGATGGAGGAATCTGGGCTTTCCTCAGAACCACTGTAAGTTTTGAATCAGGAGTGAAAGATAAAATATAGGCTTTAGAAGGTTAGTCAGAAAGCTACCAAGGGAATATGGGACTAAATAACCATATCATACAGACTGGTTAGGAGGCTGTTATGCTAACATAGGCATGAAGCCATGAGTTCTTGACCAGGGAGATGGTTGGGAGAAAGAGTACTACTGAAGAATTTAAAAGGTTTCAATGACTGTGGGGATAAGGAGGATAAAGGAGAGGAAAAAGTGAAGAATAGCTAGGGATTACACCTCACTAAGCAGAAGAATAAGAATATATCACCAGTGAGCCATTGAGGAGGAAGGAGGAAGAACCAGTTTGGGGATTCTCTTTTGAAGACACCTCAATTTGAGGTGAGGATGGTATTATAACCCAGATGAGATACCTTCTGGAGGGGTCAGAGCAAATGTGAGCAGTCCAGAGTGAAGATGGATTAGAAGTCATTATGGATGGGAGTTGAAGTCATATAGGTTTAGAGAAACTATTTAGAGAAAGAATTCAGGGGCTAAGGGCTGAGAAGATTGTGGAATTTCTCAAACACACATCACAGCTTTTGATTTTAGTGGCAAACCATCAGGAAAAATTCTAAACCAAAGAACTTGGAAATACTTCAGAGACAAGATCGGACTTATACGGGGGCCATAGTTCTCAAAACATTCCAAAGACAAACATCTAACAAGCAAAAGTCATCCTAAAATATCAAACTGCCAATTTCATGGTCAGTAATGACATTAAATAGAGTTCTGTTGAATTTGACTCTATAAATAAATTATGGTTCACTAATAACCTGATTTTAATCACTTAACACCATGACAAAAAAAAATCCAATGTCACCAACATGTATGTAGGGTCTGATATTTTTAGCCCTCCACTGACAACCATAAAAAACAACACTGACATACACGTGTATGGTTTCCTAGAACGCTAAATACTATAAGCTTCTGTGTCAAAGAGCCACTCAAGGTTTTGAGTAAACCCGATATTCTCTTTGGTTGTTTTCAAGCTTCTGGTAGAGAACATGAAGCTAGAAGGTTTCCAAGGCTGCATAAACAGAGTGTTCAGGAGCTTGGCATTGACTCAGGGGAGGGGAGGAATAACATGGCTTCTGCATACATATGAAAACACATAACAGTCAAATCCTATCTTCCAGTTGAAGATGTTCCAGTGAACATATTAGAAACAAAGATTTACACCTCCCTTCTGGCTCATTTTCTCTCCCTCTTCCAAAACCCGCCAAAAGTGAGAAGCCACTTTTTCAAACAATACAATCTAAAAACAATAGCTAACATTTATTTGTTACTAATTTATTTAGCAACGATGGCTAACACTTATTTAATACTTATTATGTACCTGGTACTGTTCTAAGCTCTTCACAAAGAACTTATGCAGCAGGTACTATTATTATTCACTGCATTTTACTTAAGGAGAAACCAAGGCACAGAGAGACAAAGTCACCCAAGGTTGCAGCCTTAGTGTACAGTGGAGCCAGGACCAGAATCCAAGCAGCCTGATTCCAGTGTCTCACACTCAATTCCCCTCCTAGCTATACTGTTTCTCAGGCCCGTGCTCCAACATGCCACCTGTTAAAAAAAAAAAAGTAAACAATTGTTCAAAGATAGTAAACACTGTCAATGACATAAGTGTTTCTGATTATTTCAAAAATCTCCAAGAGGACCAGACACAAACAAGTCCAAAGAGAGTAGCAACATGTATATACACAGAAAACTTTCTGAGAATAGTTTAAATAAAAAAGATTCCACTTGGCTATGAAGAAACCTTTCACCATTTTAGGGTGACCAAAAGAAAAATGAAATGAGCTGTATTAAAAAAAAGTTGGAAGCATCTGCTCCTGAACAACTTTTCTTTTTAAGCGATTCTCCTGAAAGACTCATGTTTATCTATCTTAGAATTTGAACCAAATACAGATTTGCTTTTATTATGATCACTTCAGGATTTTGTACTTACTATCCTAATTTTTCTCTCATTTTCTGTAATTTTAGTCTAAATCTGGGTTGAAAAGAATTACACAGGGATTTGGCACTTAATCCTTGGTAAGCATGACAACTTTCATTAAAAACTTATGTTTCAGCTGGGTGTGGTGGCTCACACCTGCTATCTGAGAACTTTGGGAGGCTGAGACAGAAGGATAGCTTAAGCCCAGGAGTTTGAGACCACGCTGGGTAGCAAGGGGAGACTCCATCTCCACAATAAATAAATTAACCAGGCATGGTAGTGTGTGCCTGTAGCTCCAACTACTCAAGAGGCTGGGGTAGGAGGATTGCTTGAGCCCAAGAGACCAAGGCTACAGTGAGCCAGGATTGCACCAATGTACTCCAGGCTGAATGACAGAACGAGAGCCTGCCTGTCTGTCTCTCTCTCTCTCTCTCACACACACACACACAAACACACGACCCTGACGTTCGACCTGTGTTTGCGAAGAACAGATTTTAATTGAAGACCTTCACAACTAAGAATCCAGTTAATTGTATTATTGATTCTCCTAATATTTCTCTAGATCCAGTGTTCTTATTTGTCTAATTTTATCTATAAGGTGGCATATTTATTTGCCACCTTATTTCAAAACGTAGAGTTAAAGAAAATGCTCCTAAACATAGCAATTGAAAGGCAGAGAAAAAAGCAATCAAGGATTTTTTGAAGATACGATACTTTCCACATGATTCTCATTCAAATATGGGTAGAGGAAGATACAATTTTTGGAGTCAATCTCCCATGATCCTGTGATGATCCAGAGGCTGACAACACAGAACACAAATACCAGGTCTGTCCAAAGGGTTCTACCAGGCCAAATTGTCAGAGAGGGGTTTTAGGAGCAGGGTGCTAGAAACAGCAATAAAACCTTTATCAACAGCTGCCAGAGGGGCTGAACCTCACCTCAACCCAAACACGTGTGTATCGCTACAATAGCTCCTAGTGAATCCTTCGTTCAATGCCACGATGGTGTGGAGAGCGTTGCATGAAATGGGTGGCCACATTGCTCTCTCCCCAGCCACACACCTCTAACAGTGCTAATGCCCAAAAGCAATTACCATCCAGGTGGGGCAGCATCCTAATATAGACAGATACCTAAGATGAACAAGCAAAAAAAAAAAATTTTTTTTTTTTTAAAGGCAGAGTCTTGCTCTGTCATCAGGCTGGAGTGCAATGGCGCAATCTCGGCTCACTGCAACCTCCGACTCCCGGGTTCAAGTGATTCTCCTGCCTCAGCCTTGCGAATAGCTGGGATTACAGGCACGCACCACCACGCCTAGCTAATTTTTGTATTTTTAGTAGAGACAGGGTTTCACCATGTTGGCCAGGGTGGTCTCGATCTCCTGACCTCGTGATCTGGCCGCCTCAGCCTCCCGAAGTGCCGGGATTATAGGCGTGAGCCACCGCGCCTGGCCACTGCAAAGAGGCTTTCAAACTCAGCGTCAGTGAGCACAATAAGAGCCAGAAGCTCAGCATTCAAAACAACAACAAAACAAACTTTGAAATTAGTTCCCATCAGTAGCTTTAGGAAGGCATGAAATTTTAGGACTTCTCTGTACTTTTAAAATCTTAGCTACTTAGATCAGCAGACCCAAACTTTTTGGCACCAGGGACCAGTTTCATGAAAGACAATTTTTCCACGGATGGCGGTGGGGGTCAGGGGGTGCTTTTGGAATGAAACTGTTCCACCTCAGATCATCAGGCATTAGTTAGATTATCATAAGAAGCGCGCAACCTAGATCCCTGGCATGTGCAGTTCACAATAGGGTTGGTGCTCTATGAGAAATTAATGCCGCCTTTGATCAGACAGGAGGCGGAGCTCTGGCAGTAATGCTCGCCCACCCCTCATCTCCTGCTGTGCGTCCCGGTTCCTAACAGGCCACAGACTGGTACAGGTCCATGGCCCAGGGGTTGGGGACCCCTGGCCTAGATCTATGCCTGCAGGAATAAAAAAAGCTGCAGGCAGATTTAAGCAACATAAAACTTTCCTTAAATCATACTTCCGGCCAGGCGCAGCGGCTCATGCCTGTAATCCCAGCACTTTGGGAGGCCGAGATGGGCGGATCATTTGGGGTCAGAAGTTCAAAACCAGCCTGGCCACCATGGTGAGACCCCGTCTCTACTTAAAATACAAAAATTAGCCGGGCGTGGTGGTGGGCGCCTGTAATCCCAGATACTTGGGAGGCTGAGGCAGGGGAATCGCTTGAGCTCAGGAGGCGGAGGCTGCAGTGAGCTGAGATCGCATCACTGCACTCCAGCCTGGGAGACTTCGTCTCAAAAAATAATAACAATAATAATCATACTTTCTTCTTATCGTTCTCTTCTTCCAAAATGTTTCTTAATGCTTCATCCTACATGGAGCAATGGAAGCCAGTGCTTTTCAAACAGCATTACACAGAAAACTAGCATGCAGGGTAGCTGTTCGTGAGTATTCTGGGAAGCAGTCTGTGTTCAAAGTGTGAGAGACGTGGCATGCTATGATTCTACCTCCTTGGGAATGCATAGTATGTATTAGCAAATTCAAGACTGTGAGAAGTCCATGTACACTTTGTGGACTATGATGTTGCCTACACTCATGTGATCACAGAATGCATTTTCACAAATCACTTCGTGGGTTAACTGGGCTACAGAGAATACAGTTTAGGAAATGCTGCTCTACACCCCTGTGCTTACCATTCAAGACTTAACAATCTGACCCTGGCCGGGCGCGGTGGCTCACGCCTGTAATCCCAGCACTTTGGGAGGCCGAGGCAGGTGGATCAGGAGGTCAGGAGATCAAGACCATCCTGGCTAACATGGTGAAACCCCCGCCTCTACTAAAAATACAAAAAAAATTAGCTGACCGTGGTGGCGGGCACCTGTAGTCCCAGCTACTCAGGAGGCTGGGGCAGAAGAATGGCATGAACCCAGGAGGTGGAGCTTGCAGTGAGCTGAGATCGCACCACTGCACTCCAGCCTGGGCAACAGAGCAAGACTCCGTCTCAAAAAAAAAAAAAAAAAAAAATCTGACCCCAGTTATCCTTAACCATATTCAACAACAAACATTCATGATTCTGATGTGTACTGCAGATCTTACATACCATTTCATACCATTTTTCCCTAGAGAAAACCCCTGCTCTGGTCAAGTTCATCTCCTTCCCATGTCCTAAACAGATATTGATTCCAATGTTCTGTTCACACATTCCCCATGCTAGAATTTCTACCTTCAATCATTTTGTTCAACTTAATCCTTCAACACTTGAGATAAAATCCCACCTCCTATGAGACTCTGCGACATAATGCCTTCTTTCTTTCCCTGGAATAAGCCACCCCAAACACAATGGTACTTGCTTGGGATTCACCTGCCCCTCTAGTATTATAAGTCCATATTTGCCGTACGTATGTCTGGTCCCTCAGCTACCCAAGGACTGGCTGAGAGCAGGCTCTAAGCTCTTAGCTTCTTCCTACAATATCTAATACATGGTATTTTCCTCCAATACAGCAGATACTCCATACCTAAGTGCTGGTGGATTAGGAAACGCGTGGTATTTCATATATTGCTTTCATCATTAAATAACCGACGGACACTGGAATAACTCAAAACACTTAAGAAGTAGGCACTTTTTTTTTTTTGAGATGGAGTTTCGCTCTTGTTGCCCAGGCTGGAGTGCAATGGCGTGATCTCGGCTCACCGCAACCTCCACATCCCGGGTTAAGCGATTCTCCTGCCTCAGTCTCCCGAGTAGCTGGGATTACAGGTGTCCGCCACCACGCCCAGCTAATTTTTTTGTATTTTTAGTTGAGACGAGGTTTCACCATGTTGGCCAGGCTGGTCTCGAATTCCAACCTCAGGTGATCTGCCCGCCTCGGCCTCCCAAAGTGTGAGCCACCACACCCGGCCAGAACATTTTTATTCTCTGGAAAATAGTGTGGTCTGGTGTAAAAAGCATCTGAAGAATACAATTAACTTAGATCTCTAAATTGAAATCTCAAAAATCCCTTAAGAATGACTTAATGTACATGGATATAGTAGGCCACATGCTCAGACCTTTAAAAAAGCATTGAAATTTCCACACCGTCTGCAAGCACAGGGTTCATTCCTTACTGACTACTCTGTATGTCAGATATCACAACTTCAGATATATTTATGTATTAAATATTTTGTAATAGTTTACACACTAGGCTTATTTTATTCCCTCTCCAGGATATCCACATGGACCTCTGCCTTTTAGAAAGCCTCAGATGACACTTGCCTACAAGATAGCAACTACAAGGCATATCCATCTTTATGGAGAAAATAAGTTCATACCTAGAAGTATCTGATATTGGCAAAATCAAACCAAAAACGACTACAGATGTCTAAAGATGCAGAGTATTCAACACACAATTCCAGACTTCAAAGTAAGTGTATGATATACCTGGATAGAATACAAAACATATTTGCTAATATGACACATGAAAAACTGTTCAGCTAGGATAGCTAGCACAATAGTCAAGTTTTAGGTTTTTCAGATGAAAAGAACAGCCAATATACCATTAATATATAATGGCTGAAATGCTATAAAAGCGGAGCATTATGTCCATAATCAGAATGACTGCTCTGTGGCATAGATTCAGGAGCATTTTCACACATGTCCTTGTGAAGCAGGAAAGAGGACTGATGAAAAGTCCTGGAGCAAGTTGTCCAGGTTCAAATCCTGGTTCCATTTCTTACGAGGCATATGACTTGGGGCAAATTTCTTCTCTGAGCTACACTCAGTTTCCTCGTCTAACAAATGGGGACAAAGTGGTATTGACTCCATTGTGTTGCTGTGAAATTTCAATGAGAGGATGCTCATGAAGCAATTTGAACATCGCTTAGCACATAGAAAGCACTGGATACACGTTAACTTTATTACATTCCTGTGACTTAAGTACAACACAGATCCTAACACTGGCTGCAAATAGTAACTAGCACACAAACCTCCATCAGGCTCTCTTTAACGTTATTCTGTGCTGTTGTGTGGATTTCTCATTGCGAGAACAGAAAAGGTTGCTGTGGGAGGTCATTACCAACAAAAACCAACAGGCCCTACATCCTGCTTATTTCCTGTAGAGGAGGTAAAATGACAGCTTTAGGCAAGGGATCATCCTCTCTGGGAAATCCAGTAGGCAATCTAAATGACAATTCTGCTATCAGCATATCTGTGGAAGTTGTGAGTGGGTGTTATGTGGTCATTCGTGGGCATGTATTTACATTTTACCTGCATGTGATTTTAGCACTGTACACAGTACGAAAAAATCATTCAATGCAGAATGACTTGTTCATGTTCGTGACTTTGAAAATGAATAACATCAACGTTTTCCGCTCTTTTCTGGATCAAAGGAAAAAGCCGCACAAGGAAAATCTAGGTTTTAATCATTCTTTCGTTTCCTTTAACACGTTAATGAATGCTTTATGGAAAAAGGGGGGAGCATGCATTTCTATCCTATTATAATTAAAAAAGCTCTTCAAATAACTAGACATTCGGAAGTTCTTTTCATTATCAAATAACTGTAAATTAGTTTATCAAAGTCTTAAAGGGTGTCGCTTAGGGAAAGATCTGAAACTCAAACCTACTTGCTAACATTTCTGATTATTATTTGTTCTTTCTTTCCAGTCTCTGTTTCTTAGTTTTTTCCTATACCTCACATGCACGACTCTGTTTTTACTTTTGGATCTCATACTTCTTTCATGTCTTCTAAGATACCTTTTCTTTTTACCTTTTTATTAAGCTGACTAAACTTCATGGTGGCTAATTTAGCACGTGAATTTTCAGCATCATTACTTACTAAAAGTCAAGTCTCTCCAGCCTGGCCAACATGGTGAAACCCCGTCTCTACTAAAAATACAAAAATTAGCCAGGCATGGTGGCGTGCACCTGTAATCCCAGCTACTCGGGAGGCTGAGGCAGGAGAATCACTTGAACCCGGAAGGCAGAGGTTGCAGTGAGCTGAGATTGCTCCACTGCACTAGAGCCTGGGTGACAGAGCGAGACTCCATCTCAAAAAAAGAAAAAAAAAGTCAAGTCTCATTTTCCCCCTTACTTCCCCCAACTCTGCTCCTCTTGTACTTCGAGAAGGATTGGTTTTTGGCATCTGATAATGATATAAAGTGGAAGTGACAGAGTGTAAACTGCAAACTACATCCAGCTTCAAAGCAGCCTGCGGAAGTCAATGCCATCCATGAGAACCTGGTCTCCTTCTCTGAAGATGGAAAGACCAGATTCCCACACATTGTAGTATTCCCTGCCACAGGGTATAGAAACTAAATGGATTAAATGGTAAATACATAAAGTGAAAATAGTTTTGTATTATAGCATATATTGAAAAGTCATGGTACATATATATAAAATATATATCAAATATTTGTCATCTATGTAAAGATACATGTAATAAAATATATTTCTACACATATATAGAAACAAGTAATTTTACATCTTCTCTAATGATATCTAGTGATGATTCTATTATTTCCTTAAGGAAATGAGATTCTGAGATTTTATTGTGGTCTGATGAACACATTCTCATTATAAAAATGCCTGAATTTTGCATTTGCCCGGTGGAGCAGGTCCTGGAATAACATCATCATGTTCAACATTGTTTTGTTATAATGATGATAAGAAAAAAAAAATCAGTTCCTAGATGTGGGCCACTGTCTGGGTGGAGTCTGCATGTTCTCCTCACGTCTATGGTAGGTTTTCTCCTAATAGTCAGGCTTCCTCCCACATCCCAGAGCTGTGCACAGCAGATGAATTGGCGTGTCTGCATTGTTCCTATGTTGTGGGTGGGTGTGGGTGTGTGTGAGCACACCCTGTGATTGGATGGCAGCCTGTCCAGAGATGGTGCCCACCCTGAGCTGCCTGCCAGATGAGGTTCCTGGCCACCTGTGACCCTGAACTGAATTATCTTGTTTTTAATAATCTTTAAGTCTATGTATAGCTCACATTTATTTCAAAGTTTAACATTAGAAGTGCTTTGGGTCTTAGTTTATATGTTTGGTGATGTTTCTGTGACCAAAATATGCCATATCCATTAGCCTATGGTAAAACTGGTTTTGTTATATATAGTTTCACTTAAGGTCAGAGTTTACAAGCAACTATTACCAATGTTCAGTGAAGACTGACAACTGTCTACTAACGTGCCCAAGGGCCCAGAAATCATAACATCCCATGCTTTAGTTCATGCTGTCATTATTTCTATGTAGTAATATTTCATTGAGATAATCACCAATATGTTAACTTTCCAACCTATGTTCACTTTGAAAAGATTCTGGCATTTTTATTCAGATTTAGGGAGGGTTATACTTCCATTAAACTAAAATCTCTTAACAGATTTTAAGGTCATTTAGCTCAAGTTCCTTTCCCGCTCTGTCAACCGCAGAAGAAACTAGGGGATACAACTCCCTTTCCCTGAATTTCATGTAAAACTGGTTCATCTTTGAATCCATCTAAAAGTAGGATTTGTGAATGAAGAACTATAAAGGATACAAAAAATAGTTTTATCTCAGTACCATTTAAGCACACAAACTCAGCATTAGCATGAGGCGCCACCAAAATATATGAGGCAGGAGGGTCGGCTCTCTGACTACCTGCCTGTCCCCCCTCCACCTCCCCGTCTAACTGTTGTTCACTCCATTTGCTTTTTGTGCAAGCGACAGACTGACCAATGGCTAAATAAAAAGGGTCTGGCACCATTTTACCTTGATTTGTAGAGGTCACTGACCCCAATTTTCAAAATGAATTGCTTTAGAAATGCATTTTTTTAAGTAATCCAGAAGAGAGATGTCAGGTTTACCTTCAATTATTTAATAACCTAACAAGATAGCCAGCTACAGGCCAAATTGTGAAGTTGGTTAAATTTTGGGAGGGCTTTCTGAAATCCTTTTCTAGCTCCCCTTTATTCATTCCAGCCACCTATAAAATGACCATCCTTTTCATTCTCAAGCATCCATCGCTTTCATCCTGACCTCCTCCACCTTTCCCATCCCTTCCCGGGATCCCTCCTTGCAGCACTCACCCAGGCTTGGCAGGCTCTGCTACACACCCGACCATCATTTCTTAAACCTAAGTGGTCTATAAAAGTTTACTCCCACTATTGACTTAAATTATTGTATTATGTTTTCAAAATTTGTACAAACACAACTAGGAGTAACTCCTTAGGCTTGTAACTCCTAGGCAACTACAAAACCGAAATAAATGTATAAGAAAAATTCAAGAAAAGTTATAAAACCAACACAATTTAACAATATTCATGGAATGTGGCAGAAGAGGTTTTGCTACAACTAATTGTTCTCTTGCAGTGTGATAATGGCACTGAGACTACAGCCAAGGTTCTTATGAGCTGGGACTGTTTTCCTTACTCCAGGCAGCAGGACAGCTCAATTCTCTTGCCACTCTTTCTATTAGACACAGCAAAAAATGATGTCATCCAGCCTAATCTTGGTGGAAATACATCATTTACGAGTCAGTCATTAGCCAGACACAAAGATTTAGGGGCAGACACAAATATAAACACAGGTGCTGAAGTTTCATGGGATGACCTTGTTATGAAATTATTATTCAGATGATTCAGAATGTATTGATATCAGTTTATTGTTATCAAAATAAAAACACAAAGTTAAGATGCTCTAGCAGATAAGTGAAGTCCCTAGGAGTAGATGCCCTAGAATGAGGACTACAGAGCCCCAATAATGGATACCTCTCCAAAAACACTCCTCCCTCCTCTACTCAGTCCAAGCTACCATATGCCAAAGCAATCGAATGCGTCAACCCTTCACAGGGAGATGCCATGTCTTACCTTCCAAGAATATTCGTGATTTAAAAGGAAATTCTTGGAAAAGGCCACAGTGTCTTTAATCCAAAGAGCAAATTTCTAAATGCAGAATTCCAGGCACTGTGGTGGACTGGAGAGAGAGGGAGGAGAAGAGATAAAGAGGGAGAGTGGGAGAGCTAAATTGGGGAAGGAAGGAGAGGAGAAGCAGAAGCAGAATGAGATGTATTTAGGGACAGAGAATTTAAAGAGAAATTGCTTAATTCTCATTGCTCAATAATAACAGGGTGCTCAGGTACACTTTTCATCCTTCATTCAACAGCAATGTGCTATTAATGACATTCTCGCAGCAAATAATTTCTGTATGCCTGATGTTAGTATACCCGTACATATATGTACACACACACACACACAAACCTGCACAGCCTGTGTGCCATTTTGGTCCATAAAGTTAGGTCTCCATAGCTCAAAACCACCAAACCCTCCCTTCTCTTTCTTTTCTACCTTCTCCTGGAAAAAGCACAGACGTGATCCTAAAGGCAAAAGTAGCTCTGGAATGACAAATTCGTCTCTCATTATCTGTTGCTGCTGCTGCCCAATCCCAAAAGGCAGAGAACTGTGTTGGAGCTGGAGGCAGAACAGAGATGTGTCTGTCCCTAAGAGGGTGCTCACAATCTCACTCTAAACTGTTTGAACCTCAGGCCAGTGGAAACAGCTATATTCTCTACAAATTTAACTCGCCACCTTTTTCCCAAGGTCTACTATATGAGATTCATTTTAGAGCCTATACCTCTTAAGAAAATGAAACTGCAATGAAATAAGCATAAGAAACACAGTACTAGTAATAATCACAGCTAACAAGTATTATGCCAGGCACACATTATAAGGACTTTACCGAGGTTTTTCTCATTTAACCTCCCAACTAGGAGGTATAAAATCACTGCAAGTGATAGTACTATCTGTCACATTTTAAATATTTACACATAGCTACTCCCATAGTTTAAACATTAAAACTGGAGTCCTGAAAAATGTCATTAGCACGCTCTGACACAAAAGGGCAACTTTCAGGCTCAGTATGACATTATCCATTTATTATTCATTTGCAATTGACTTATAGTGAATAGATACAAAAATGTTTATGACAGGTGTAAAGATAAAGAACTTTTTAAAATATGAATAATGTATTAGTCTACTAAGGCTGCCGTAACAAAAGACCACGGACTGCAGGACTTAAACAACAGAAATTGTCCCACAGCTCTGGAGGCTGGAAGTCCAAGATCACAGTGCCAGCAGGGTGAGTTTCTCCTGAAGTCTTTCTCCTTGCCCTGTAGACGGCCACCCTCTTACTGCCTCTTGACATGGTGGTCCTCCTGGGCACAAGCATCCCTGATGTCTTTTCTTCATCCTCATATGATTAGATGAGGGCTTACCCCAATGGCCTCATTTTAATGTAATCACCTCTTTATAGGCCATATGTCTAATAATAGTCACATTCTGAGGTTCTGAGGGTTGAGACTTCAACATATAAATTATAGAGGGATATAACTCAGCCTGTAATGGACACCAATATAATGCATCAGCTAAAGAAATTGAACATTTGCAGCCCCTCTGTGGGTTTCTCCCAAATCACATCCCTTCCTTCCTCAAGGGCAACCACTCTTCTGATTTTTGTCTGGCATTTCTTGATAGTTTTACCAACTATGTTTGTATACATTCAAAATCGTACTTTTTAATTTCCTAACAGAACCATTTAAAGCAAATAAAATTCCTTCTAAGCAGTGTTTGGGCTGCATCTCTTCCAGATTTTGATATATTTGGGTATATATCATCATCACTGCAAAACCTATTCTAATCGTACTTCTGATTTCTTCTTTGACCTATGAGTTATTTAGAAGTGTGCTGTTTAATTTTCAAAGGTGGGGAATTTTCTTGATGGCTTTGTTATTAACTTCTAATTTAATTTCACTATGGCCAGAGCAAATACTTCGTGTGATCTCAGTCCCTTTTAAATTATAGAAACCTGTTTAACAGCTCGGCATATTATCTTGCATTTGGAATTAAAATAATAAAGTAATAACAGCCTAATTTAGCATAACTACATTCCCCACTGAGTTTATTCAAAATCTCAAAGCTGGGCACTGTGGTGCACACCTGTACTCCCAGATAGGAAGCTGAGACAGGATTGCTTGAGCCTAGGAGTCCAGGAGTTCAAGGCTATAGTGCATTATGATCACACCTGTGAATAGCCACTAAACTCCAGCCTGGAGAACATAGTGACAATCTGTCTCTTATTTAAAAATTTAAAAAAGGCCAGGCTCGGTGGCTCACGCCTGTAATCCCAGCACTTTGGGGGACTGAGGCGGGCAGATCACGAGGTCAGGAGATCCAGACCATCTTGGCTAACATGGTGAAACCCCATCTCTACTAAAAAATAGAAAAAATTAGCCGGGCGTGGTGGCAGGCGCCTGTAGTCCCAGCTACTCGGGAGGCTGAGGCAGGAGAACAGCGTGAACCCAGGAGGCAGAGCTTGCAGTGAGCCAAGATCACACCACTGCACTCCAGCCTGGGTGACAGAGCGAGACTCTGTCTCAAAAAAAAAATAAATAAATAATAAAAAAATAAAAATCAGGGCTGGGTGCAGTGGCTCATGCTTGTAATTCCAACACTTTGGGAGGCCAAGGTGGGCAGATTGCTTGAGCCCGGGAGTTCGAGACCAACCTGAGCAACATGGCAAAACCCCATCCCTCCAAAAATTATAAAAATTAGCCAGGCACTGTGGTGCATGCCTGTGGTTCCAGCTACTTGGCAGGCTGAAGTGAGAAGATTGTTTGAGCCCAGGAGGTCAAGGCTGCAGTGAGCCATAACCATACCACTGCACTCCAGCCTGGGGGAAGGGAGTGAGAACCTGTCTCAAAAAGAGTAAAAATTAAAAATAAAAAAAAATCAGTCACTTATAGAATTGCTAAAAGAATTTCTTTGGCTGGGCACAGTGGCTCACGCCTGTAATCCCAGCACTTTGGGAGGCCAAGGCAAGTGAATCACCTGAGGTCAGAAGTTCAAGACCAGCCTGGCCAACATGGTAAAACCCTGTCTCTACTAAAAATACAAAATTAGCCAGGCCTGGTGGCGCATGGCTGTAATCCCAGCTACTTCGGAGGCTGAGGCAGGAGAATCGCTTGAACCCAGGAGGCAGAGGTTGCCATGAGCCGAGATCATGCCACTGCACTCCAACCTGGGCAACAGGGTGAGACTCCACCTCAAAAAAAAAAAAAAAAAAAAAGAATTTCTTTAATCAGGTAAAAGTTTGATTACTATTCATGGGGAAATGGACAAAGTATTTATTTTTAGGAACACAAGTATTGTTCTTCACCCAAAGTGTTGACTCAAAGAGACTGAGAATAGTGTAATCATATAATCGTACCTTAGAGTTTTACCATTTTTTAAACATCCCATATCATTTCAAAACCAAATAGTAATCACTTGCTTTACCTGTAGGAATCGAGTATTGGGAGATATCAAGAGACCAAGAAAGGAGTTTAAAACTTATGGCAAATTAAACTGGACTAGTATTTGATACTTCTTTAAGAAATAACGGCTGGGCGCAGTGGCTCACGCCTGTAATCCTAGCACTTTGGAAGGCCGAGGCGGGCAGATCACGAGGTCAGGAGATCGAGACCATCCTGGCTAACAAAGTGAAACCCTGTCTCTACTGAAAATACAAAAAAATTAGCCGGGCGTGGTGGTGGGCACCTGTAGTCCCAGCTACTCGGGAGAATGGCGTGAACCTGAGAGGCGGAGCTTGCAGTGAGCCGAGATCGCGCCACTCACTGCACTCCAGCCTGGGCAACAGAGCGAGACTCCGTCTCAAAAAAAAAAAAAAAAAGAAAAGAAAAAAAGAAATATCCAGGGTTGGGGGGCGAGGGGAAGAAACTTGGAGGACAGGTCGATAGGTGCGGCAAACCACCATAGTACACATATACCTATGTAACAAACCTCCACATTCTGCACATGTGTCCCAGAACTTAAAGTAAAATTTAAAAAAAAAGAAAAGAAATATCCAGAAAGATTATCCAGCCTCAAGGTTTATATTATAATGGCTATAAACAACAAAACATAAACCTATTTTCCAAAGGTTTCCAAATATACTACCGAAGAAACAAACATAAAAAACGACTTTGATATTTCTAAAAAGCATAACTTAAAATTTAAAAAAAAAGTTAATGAAAAAACAAACACTCAATGGTTACTGCCTTACTTTAAGAAAAAAAACATTTAGTTAAGCACATTTTCCCCCAAAGCTATTTAAACACCAAGATTCAGAAGTAAACCTTATTTAGATGAGTTTCTAGTCAACGAATTGACCTACATAATCTAAGTTACATAAATCAAAAAGCTAGGCAATATCCTCGAAGGAAGGGGCTAAAAATGGTTTAAAGTTTTTCAGCCTAGGGATAAACATGAACTACAAGAGACATAAATTTTCCTGAACACTCTGTATCACACAGCTAAGTAGAGAGGATATTAATGTTTAATTTTTAAAGTTCTTTAAAAATGAATTTCTGTAAGTATTATAAAAACAACAAGCTCTAATTTTGGCCATAATCATGGTAAGTGTTCACGTGTTAGCAATCAGCTTTCAAAATAAGACTTTATAGATGCAGCTCTTGGGTTTATTACCCTCTGACAATGCACTGTTAGAACACTGTGTGTGTAGAGCTGTTGGGCTCCTACTGGTTCAAACACAGCTTTGAACACCCTGTGTTAATGAAAATTCTCCTTTCCAAAGATTCTTATGGGTCACTCTTACAAAAATCCTGTGTCAGAGCCAGCAAACAGCCTCATGCACCAGATCTGAAACTGTACATTTTTCAGGCATTACACGAGATTTTCTTATACAGTTCCCTATTAAAATGGTTTAAATTCCAAACCAAGCCTTGGGAAACAGAGCTTACACTATCTTGAGCCTTTCTATAGCATCGGGCAATGGGATGTGAATGCCACAATGAAAAGACAAAAGTAGTGTTAAACTCTCACATTCATATGGCAAATTTATCTTTACTATGGAAAAGAGACAAAGCCCTTTGTTATCATGAACTGTAAAATATTCTTTTTTCTTCTTTCTTTTTTTTTTTTTTTTTTTTTTTTTGAGACAGAGTGTCGCTCTGTCTCCCAGGCTGGAGTGCAATGGCGTGATCTCAGATCTGCAACCTCCACCTCCCAGGCTCAAGCGATTCTTCTGCCTCAGCTTTCCGAGTGGCTGGGATTACAGGTGCACACCACCACGCCTGGCTAATTTTTGTATTTTTCATGGAGACAGGGTTTCGCCATGTTGGCCAGGCTCATCTCGAGCTCCTGACCTCAACGGATCCACCTGCCTCAGCCTCTCAAAGTGCTGGGATTACAGGCATGAGCCACCGTGCCTGGCCAACTGTGAAATATTATGACAATTTTGATTTTACAAAATTAGGTTTTAGTCGTAGCCTGCAGGTATTTTCCTGTTGCTTCTGGATTAACCCACCTTTTTAGTTAATTCCTGTCAAAATGACAAAGGAGAATTGATTTCTTTCAGTGAGGTATGCTTATCAATGGGAGAGTCTGAGTTGATTGATGGGGTGTTAAAGAAAAGGACCATTAATGGATTTGTAAAAAAACAGATAAATAAAGCAAAATCTCCACTTAAGACCACCAATTGATAAAAGCAGCTCTTTTTTCATTGGTAATTTTTTTTAATTTAGAAATTTTTAAAGCAGTCCAATTCAATCATCACTCTACTTATTAATAAAACACAGCTTTATTTAAGCAATTCCCACTGACATGGCCCAAGTTAAAGGTCACTCAGCATGGTTATCATAATGCTAAATAAGTTAAAAATTTTAAAGTCAAATGGAAAACATCATTTAAAGCTACACTGTGCTATAATGGAAAATCTGAGGCTCTGCAGTCAGGTGATCTAAATTCAAATTCCAGTTTGGCACTTATTAAGCACTGTACTAAAGCTGTCTGAGCCTCAGTTTTCTCATATCCAAAATGTGCAAACCCTTACCCTTGCAGAGTAATTGTACTACATAAGGTAATAAATGTAAAATGTCTGATATACAGCATAGAATACAATAGCTCTTCACTAAATAGCAATTTTTATTAGTATTATTGTTTAGAATAAAACCTTAAGGATATATTATTTTAAATTATATTATTTTTTTCATGCCCATATTAACCAGGCAAACTAAAAATTGTATTTAATGGGCTTTCTTGGGCTCTTCAGTACAAAAAAATCTAGCTTTTTAAATTGTTGGTTTTGTTTTCATAAGGGAACTAAAAACAATACTGGATTTTAAAATGCATTCATATTAGGTAGGAATATATTTCTAAGGTCTTCCCATTACATGGATTTTAACTATTATGAATTTAGAGCAGTAAACACATCCCACTGCTGCTAAGCATTTACCACAACCTCAGCAAAAATGAGATGAGCCACCAAATGTCAGTGTGACTGCAACCTGGACTCAGGCAAAAGTTAACTGCTCTTCAATTCCCCTTCCTGGAAATACTGATGGAGAAACAGAACTGGTGCCAGAAGACTGGAGATGGGGGAAATGAGTTCCCACTTTGAAGAAGACAAGAAAGAAAAACAAAAAGGAAGAGAGAATCCCAATACTGCACACCACCAGTGCGTTTACTGTTGATCCTGGACAAGATTCTTGGCAGAGTGTTAAAAGAATGGTTTGTAACTACTCAGAAAAGAAAGCACCAGTCCTGGCGGACAGTGTGGGTTCAATAGGGACAAGACAAACCTCACTTCCTTCTCTGACAAGGCTGGTAGCCTGGCAGATCAGGGAAACACTGTGGACATAATGTATTTGAACTTGAGTAAGGAATCTGACAAGGGCTCCCAGGACAACTTAAAGGACAAGATGTGAAAATATGGGCAGAATGCTAGGGCAGTTTATTAGACTAATAAACACATGAACCAAAGGCTGTCAACATCCCATCACTGCCACTCTCTGGAAGGTCCCTAGAGGCAGGGTTTTATCCTTGGTCCCTTTGCTTCATCATTTTTTTTTTAAACAAATGACCTGGATGAAGCCAAAGAAAGAGTATTTATCATATTTTCAGGTCGCTTAATAAAAACTAGTATTTGTGTGGTGCTTTATTTTTTCAAACATCTCTATATGCACTATTATTCTTCACCTTCACAACTATTCAACAGGGGAGGCAGAACATTCTATTTTCCATTTTACAGATAAGAAAACTGAAACTTACTGCAGTTAAATTATTCATTTGATGTAACAAAGGCAGAACACAGTAGAGCCAGGATTTAACCTCATGTATCGAGTCTTTTTGACTTCACATTGGGACCAAAACCTGGGACAGGCAATAGCTATAGATGCAGGATTCAAAAAGATCTTGACAAGCAGAAATGAGGAGCAATATCTAATAATTTCAAATAGATTCCCAGTGTGACCATATAGGTAACATTTTGTCCCCAAGGATGTCCTGAAACATTCAGCTCAATATGATGTGTGAGATGGTACATTCACTAACACAACCAACCTGCGCTACATATCTAGAATAAAAAGGATCATAGTCTCCCCCACTCTTGTCACAACACACCTGGGTAAAGAGGTTCACCCATTAGATGTGATCTTTCAGAGCCCTTCCCGCTCTGGGGTAGCATTATTCTAGTACAAGGCATAGGATGGTTTAAATGAAGCTGTTTTGAGAGTAAATGCTCACAGCTTGGTCACGTAACCATCACAGAGCTATACAAGAAAACAGATCACAGAACCTGAAATCCAGAACTCCAAGTTTTAGAGTTTATTCAGTAGTCAGCTGTAAATTTTAAAAAACAACAACGTTCACAGTAGCGATAAAGAAACACAATTTTCTCCCTCCTAGTGTTATATTAGTCCAGATTCCCCTAACACAGGAGAAGCATCTGTGAAAGGTGTCCCGCTGCTTGGAATACATTATGGAAAACCCAAGAATATTTCTGATATAAGGAGGTAGGAATGGTGACATCACCCCAGGCTTTCAACTGGCTAGAGCTTAGACCTCTCCTTCCTCTTTAACTTCTCTCCAGTGAAGCTCTATCAAGCTGTATCTTGCCTGCTTCTCCCACCAGCTCCCTCACCACCTCTCTCCACCCCCAGGAAGACACATGCAAGAAAGAGTTTGGTACAACAACAGGAGGGAGGATCATGGAGGTAACTTCTAGAACTTGTAAAACATCCTAAGAGGCCCATTCCTTGTTCTCATCCTGACCAAGTGCCAATCAAGCTTGGATTTCCAAGATCCAAGGCAAGAGATATTCCATCCAAGACAACCAAATGGAGGGTTATGGCAGCCTACCAAAACAATAAAAAAAATATAAAAAATTCTCCAAATAGCAAAGGAAATCCATATTTAAGCATATGCTCAATTTCCTATGCCAATATCTTCTAAACTTGTAAAATTGTACGTGCCCTTTGGTATCTAAATATCCTACTCTTGGTTCTACTTTTATATCAAGGTTTCTTCTTTCCAACTATATTCACAGCTACTGAAGTTTCTGCCTCACAATATCTTATCTTTAAAACTTTTAAAACCCACTCTACATGTCAGATGCCATCTTTTGCTTTTCTCATTTTAAAGTGTATCCTCATCTTCTATTTCTGACTCTTCCCACTAGTTTTCTTTTTTGCAGCTTCCTGTGATCAACACCAAAGGCAAAACGTTATTAGGTAAACAGGCTGCCCCAGAGGGGAATGGAAGGGAAGAACTACTTAAATCAACACTACCAAACTCTGGTAGTCAAGGGTGTGTGTTATTTTTCCACGAGATGTAGTCTAACAGCTTACACTGGAGCAGTTCAAATACCTCCTGCTAGTGGCATTGCAGCAGCTCATGCCATATGTACCGGAGTCACCAGCCAATGCATCTGATGCCAGGGAGAATCTGCAGTTTAATGAAATTCCCTACCAGTGCTGCAGACATACCCACAGCGTTATTTCGTTTAACATTATATTAATGCATTTCAGGTCCTGAGTTTATGGCCTGTGCTGATTTTTTTGATGGCTGAGTTACACCCACCAAGACAACATAACATCCAGACAGCAACCCCAAGGGCAATGTGAGGAGGATTTTCTGATTATGTCATCAAACAGGAAACCTCACGGAGACTCTGGGATTAATGCATTTTCCACTGGAGCTGAAAGCAGGCAGGATGTAGTCACTGGAAAGGAGAGAGGGAGGGAAAAACGTTGGTAGAGGTGGAGGTGGTGTTTTTCATATAACATTTAAAGAAATCACTCATATTTATTCACATCCTTAAGCCTCCAAGCAAATAAAGATTTTAAAACTTCAGTTGAATGTGGTAATAAGCAAGCTATATAAGCACTGGATATGAAATGTACCCCACAAAGAGCTTCTCTAAACCATGGCACCATTCTTGCTCCAGATGGCATGGAAAATAATTTATAAATGACAAAAGTTCAATGGGTGTACAGCAGCTGTTCAGTTTCAGCTCTTTGGCCACCCACTTCAGGAGAACTGAGAGCTTTCAATCAACTCTTGTCTCTCACAGGGCCTTCAAACAGCATCAGAACATGTGTACAATATGTTCTCAGAAAGTAGCTGGCCAAATATGAAAGATGAGAAAATCAAGTGAAATAGAAAATAGAAATACATTCCATTTTCCTCAAAATCCCAAGCAAGGACTAAGAACAAAGAAAACCCAAACTTTGCATAACCTTCTTTTTTTCTTTTTTTTGCATGTATACTGACAGCTTCCTTTGCCACAGAATGAGAAGTATCTAGAACTTCATCAGTGTTACTTTAATAGCATATAGAGAAGTATCTAGAACTTCATCAGTGTTATTGTAATAGGATAGAGTCAATATTTTCCTTGCCCGCCTTCATTCACTCCTATAAACCCTTATGTTAAGAAAGCACTTCAGCTTAACCATGGGACAACTGCTACTTAGAAACCTAGCATCTCCCATTTTATATTTGTCTTCTGTTCGGAGCTGCCAAGCAAAAAAAAACGAATTTTAAAAGACCACCATACTGCAAAATAAACATTATCCTCCCGTTTTTTCAAGAAGAGTTGCTCAGTTGCTGTTCAAGTCTTGATAAATCATTTGCAAAAAGAGATGAATAGAGATGATTATACTAATCAAATTCTTCGGCTTGTTCAAAACCAAACCTACAAAACTAATGCAACCTAAATAATTTGCCACTCTCAGAAGAGCCAGTTTCAAGGATGGCAACTGCAGTAAGTAAGGTTATCATTTAAGGAGAGAAAACTTTCAGGATAGTCAATGTTGTGAAGCCCATCTGCTATGGAGGCTCTTGGGCATGCACTCTTGATTGAGTACAGAGGCTTTCTACATTTTAGCCCAACCAGGTTTAGATTGGATAGAAATGTGGAAGGATGATAAACAGCTGTCATCCTTTGTAAGCTCCCAAACACAGGAAGGCAAGATTATATCACAGGAGACATGAACCCACCCACTCGCTCCTGCTTCAGCGTTTATAAATAGATCTGTTAAAGGAAGGGGCTCACTGGTGCCTGTGCAGTGACTGTTTGTTCATGCTTATAATATGCGTGGAGTCTGGTTACAAAAAGGGGGACAGAATCAGAACATCTTAATGAAGAAAACACTTCCTATTAAAACTTACAGCAAACAATTTTAAATGAAGAAATGTATAATCATAAAAGATTTTAAAGAACAACCAGAGCTGGCTGAACATAAAATTGTTCTCCAAGTTCACATTCAACTTCATGTAAGCCCTTGGTGGTGAGACTTATCCAGTCATTTTTTATTACCATTGAGCTAACTGTGCAATCTGTAAATGATCTTTCAAACACTGTTCTATTTGTCTATCAATGAAAGAGAAACGTAAGAATTGGGAGAGAAAACTGGTAAATTATTATATGCTTGAAGGGAGCAAGATCAAGAGAAACATTAAAACCAATCATCTTCCTTACTTTTTTTTAAACACGTATATTTTCTGTACTTCTGGCTGTTACCAGGAATAACAAATCAGCAATGCAGAGTAGAGTTCTTTTCAACAAGTAAAGGCATTTGGACATTTACCCAGAACTGGGTAGTAGACAAAGAGATCTGGCAAGTGTTAAAATTATTCTGAAGATACTATGAGGATTAAATTTCATACCAAGAAAATTTTACTCACTGTGCAATATATCTCTAGTTAAGCAAATTATTCAGAACTTAGGACTGAATACATTCAATAAAGCTGTCAAAAAAACAAGGATCCATTGTCTCTTTTTTTTGCCTCAAGGAACTTAGACAGACAGCCACCAGACAGGCTTGCTGAACTCCCTGCGGCCTTCAAGGGTGAATTTCTGTAGGACAGTCTCCAGACTACAAAACGAACTTAAACAAGTAGTTCTGTAACTTAAGACTCTCTGCCTTAGGATTTCTTTCTAAATTAGTTTGAATTTGTGGCTGCTCTTTACCTGGTCCACTCACCAGAGAAACAACAATCAAAACCAGTGAGTGGCACAGTCAGTGTATGTAATAAAATGTTAGCTATTTAGAATACAGATTCTGAAACCAGGTAAAGTTGCAGTGGCCAACACTGTTACATACGCTAAAGCAAACCCATAATACGTAGCTCTCCCAGAGTTTCCAAAGCACACTACACATGCCAGAACCTCTTCCAGCTATCAGATCTGCCTCCCTTTTATGGCAATAACCCAATTCATACTGTTTTAACCCAAATTAACAGATGATCAAAAGCAGATCATTACAATGACCCTAGATCATCACTGTCCAATAGAACTTTCTGCAGTGATGGAAATACTCTATACCTAGGCTTTCCAGCCTGGCTGTCCCGAGCAACATGGAGCTACTAAACATTTGAACAGGGCTATTGTGACAGAGGAATTAAATTTTTAGTTTTATCTATTGTCAATCTATTTTACTTTAAATTTAAATAGCCATAGATCTTCAGCGACCACCATATTGGACAGAATGGCTCTAGGAGGCTAAATTAGTAGAGAACAAAAAAAAAACACAAAAAAAATCACCACTTGGATCCTGCTTCACAACCATTTTAAAATCTGGAATGGAAGAATAATTTTGAAACTGGAATTACAATTAAATTATAACAGACCAAACATGCAATGGGCTCTCAACATCACCAAGACAGTAGCAGGGGGCAGTAATCTAAAGATGTCTGTGTTTTAAAGCAATGTGTCATTTGATTTTCCACATACTGGAATATTTTGCATATAATTAGGCTCTTTTTAAAAAGGCAACACATTATTGAAAGAAAAAAAAAACATGGGAATCAGGCTGTTCCATGAGTATTTTAGGAAGGAAAAGTACACTTGAAAAAATATTCATTTCACTCTATTGGTATTGTTTTCCCCTAATTTTAAGAATGAGAAGATGATAGAAAAGGACTTTGTCTAACACTTTACAATTTGCATTCTTGTACCTTGATAGACATAACAGTGAGTTGATTTTGTCAGGTGTAAACAGTGTTTTCACACTTCTTATAGAAGTGTGCCTTCATTATTATTCAACATTTAATTAAGTCATAACACCAGAAAAGATCTGGTAGTGAGTTTCAGCACCCATACTATCCATAGCTAATGACAAAAACAGAGTGCTAGATCTTGAACCTGTAAATAATATTTCAGGCAGAAAATATGGTATTGATATAAACGGACACAACATAAAGAACCTAGGATTCATGATCAAATGGACAATTGAATTGTGGTCCTACAACTCTCTCTCTGTGTACAACTGTGAGGAAGTCAATCTCGCTAAACCTCAGTTTTCTCATCTGAAAAATGGGAATATACTGTAATACTGACTTAATGTTAAGTAAATCCTGGATAGAATGCCCTGCATAAAGCAAGCATATAATAAATGCATGCTTTACTAGTCATGTGCTTTACTAGTCACATTATAATAATAACATCATTTTTGGTTATTGTGAGTTATAAAAACTCTGGGGCAATCACCATCCCCCCCCCACCCCCCCCGCTTTTTTTCTGTTGATGCCGTTGTTGCCCAGGCTGGAGTGCAATGGCACCATCTCGGCTCACTGCAACCTCCGACTCCTGGGTTCAAGAGATTCTCCTGCCTCAGCCTCCCACACCACCCCATTTTAAAACCACTCTTGATCATAGATGGACAGATAAAATCCTATTACTCAGGGTTTTTTTTAACTTCTTTACCACAGGACTAGTGAGAGCCTTTGATGCATTCATTCCCTGATATTCAAGACACTGCTGTCATTAACACAGTAAGAAGGAAATAACCACTTCTTTCAACAGTCTTTCCAATTCTTACAAACATGCTATCTTTATTTCCTCAGATGTTGTCAGACATAAGGTTTCTTTTGCAGGAGAGATTAATGAGGCAAGAAGCAGACATAAAGGCATAGACTAAAGAATTTTAATCTGAAGGAAACTTACTTAAAGACCATCTAGTCTAATCCTCTAATTTTGTTTTTTTGGAACCTAGGTCCCGGGATGGTAAAATTGCTTGCCTTAATTTTCTGAAAATTCTATTCCAGTGCTTTTCCTGTCTTAAAATCTTGCATCAAAAGTTGACATCAAGATATACTTTGGGTTCAGTGGTTCTGTGATCCCAATGTCTGTTTCCTGGGGCTTTTAAACTGATGATAGCAATAATTAAATTATAAAAAACTGTAATGTGTATGCACAAAAACATGCATGACAAGCATCACCTGTTCTTATTAAGTTTATAAGTGAATGACCCAGATCAATAATTTGGATGAACACATAGAAGAATATAAACTTTTGTAAAAAGCACACACACACACAAAGAATATAGAAGGATACACACACACACACACACACACACACACACACACATATATATACACGAGAAACCTGTTAGATGTTAAAGACAAATTCAAAATTTGTGATTTTATTGCTTCAGTTACCAAGCAATTTTTTTAGAAATTACACTTATATCCCTTTCTTCTTGTATTCAATATAAATCTAAAACCACATTTGATGTGCTTTAAAACCAATAGGTTCTTTCCACTAAACAAGCTGATTCCTAAGAAAGTGTAAAATAAAGAAGTCAAAAATAGTTTTCTTACTTGTAAAGCTTTCTAAGGAAAAAGGTTTAAAGAGAATCTTGAAAACCCCTGGCTAAAGTATATTTCAGATATTATCAACGATATTTTCTTATCTATTTGTCAATGTTTTCCATTTGCTGATTTGATTGAATTCCTGCCCATTCATCTTCTCATGGGAAAACAAAAATTAAAACCAGCTTTACATAAAGAATTGTGTGTGTTTGTGAGTGTGTGTGTGTTGGTCCCCATCTTTATTACCCTTTCTCTGGTAACGGGTTCCAGAGTAGTATTCAGATCACATTAGAAACCTCATTCTCCTTTCCTGCTATCTATTCCCAAATTTTAAATGCATACTACTTTGGGCCATCATCAGTGAATGGTGGAAAGAGTACAAGCTTTAAAATCCAACAGACCTTTGAAACCAGCCTTCCCCAACTATTAGCAGAATAAAATAAATTTTCATTTTCTCTTGTAAAATACATGTATAATGTCATAGGATAATTGGACAATTAATGAGATAATACATATAAAACATCTAGTGCAATGCATAAAAGATAATACCCCGAAAAATGGCAATATCATGATCATCTTCAGCAATAACTGACAACAGCTGCAATATTTAAAACAATGAAAATTTAAAGAGGAAGAAAACAAAATTCCATCTTTAAGGGACTTTCAAGCCAAATGAAGAGGCCCAATCTACTCATCTGGAGATGAGTGGCAGTGGAAGAAGAAAGAGCCACCCACCAAGTAAAGGGGATAGGAGAAAAGAGAAGAGTTCGAGAGGAAGGGGTGGTCACAGTTGGAGAAACTCCCTGGAGCAACCAGAACTTGAATTGTGAACTAAATTGCAAGTCAGGCTTGAATATACACGGGGGAGCAGGAGGGTCATTCCAGGCAGAGATGTAGCTGTGGCATAAGCTAGAAGATGCGTCTTGTGGGTCTGGGTGAAGCAGGGCAAGTCTTCATGTAGGAACCATGATGGGCAACTAAGTACAATTCAGACTGGGCAAGGCTTGAATGTCAAGCTAAGAAGTTCAAGCTTATCCTTCAGTGGCTGAGGAAGCATTGAACATTTCTCAGCAGGCAGCAATATATACACAGTGGTCGCTGAGGAAGAGTCAGTGGCAGGAAAATTTGAAGGTAGGGTGAAAGGAGAGGTGCTGAAGGTATGGAGACCACAGTTTTAACCTACATGGTGGGCTGGATCCATGTGCTATTTCACTCTGGTTAAATACGCTACACTGGAAATGAAAGGGCGTACATAGTATACAAAGCAAATGCTTACTCTTTGTCCACCGAATCAGAGAAAAAAGTGGCAAAGTGACGGTGCAGACCTTCTTAGGGTTACACAGACAGGGAGGAAGGCACAGCCCAGAGAAGTAGGCTAGGGAGAAGTAGGGGCCAGGAGGCCAAGCCTTTAGCAAGGTTTGAATCTGTGGTCAATCTCAAAGGATTAAAAGGCCGGTAAGCAGGATTATAAACAGGGATTAAGGTCCTGGTAATGGACAAGGCAGGTTGAGGCTTCAGCAGGGATCAGAGCCTAGCTAAAGAAAAGCCTAGGCCAAGAATGGGAAGGCCATAAGAACATATCATAAGAAAGTCTATCTCTATCTGATCCAGCAAAAAGAAAACTTAGATTGTATATTAAGTTATTCAGGTCTTTCCTTATAATGATGATGATTCTTCTAAGTATAAAAGGCAAGGGTCAATCAAGGTAGGTAGGTAGGTTCTCATCTCCTACACAGCTGTATCTTCAGTTTTAGAAGATTCATCTCTTCCACTTCCTGCTGCAGCCACTGTGTACCCCGAATGGCTTAAGGGCTTGGCGCCTCTGTGTATGAAGCCTGAGTTCTGACTCATAAGTCTTAAAAAGATATCTAAGGCTGACTCCTCCATCCTGGGCTACAGCTGCAAAGAAGACAGACACATCCCTTGCTTTTGCAGAGCTTACATTCTAGTGCACAAGTGGGGAAAAGGACAGATTACTTTAAAAATCAGGCAAACAAATGAAAGATAATGTCAGAGATAAAGAGATTTAAAAAGGCAAGACTATAAACGTGATGCTGGAGAGTACGGGGACAGAGCTGGGAAAGGCTATTTTGGATTGTGTCATCAAGAAGGTGAAAGCTGAGCAGAGGGGAAAAGGAGTTCTAGGGACAAACAGCAAGAAGGAGCTTGTATTTCTGGAAAAGAAAGAAATCAGCGTTCAAAGAAATTACTATGGAGGGTGATACAATATGAGCACCAATTACATGCCAGGCACTGTGTGTGGCACTTGGCATTCATTATATCCGTCATCCTCCAAACAAGCCGTCAAGTTATTACTGTTTATACTTGATAGAAGAACACAAATAGGTTCATAAAAGCTAAATAAGCTGCCCAAGGTGAACAGTTAACAAATGGTCACACCAGAGTCCAGGTAAGCTTTGGGCCAGAAGCTTGGAAAATGGCTGGATAAAAAGACAGAGAGCAGGAGCCCAGGCCTGCTGGGTAGATGATGAGCCCTGCATTAAGGGACAGGAGCAAGAGCAGAAGAAATGTATAAGCCTGTGTGATGCTATAGGGCATTCGCAAACAGGACCTGGTGGACTAGACATGGTGAGGGATTAGCCTATAAACCTGAGTGTGTTGCTAACACTTAGAGGAATGGAGAGCTCTAAAGGGGGTCTGGGCTTTAGCGAAAGACACTGAACTTGGGTTTTAATGTGTTGACCTGATGGGATCTAGGTAGACAGGGAACAGCTGGGTAAAGAAGTCCCGACAGGTGGGTAAAAATATGAAACTGAAATTCAGAAGAAAGGCTGGCCCTTAAGATGTGGATCAGGAGTACCTCGGCCATATGGTCGATCAGCAGCATTTCTGTGTTTTCCTGTAAGGGATAGTAGTATCCATGTTGGCTTCAAAAGCATACTAATCTTTCTCCAACCTTCAGGAAACATGCAAGAATTCTCTCTGCCACCATCAACATGACTAGCTCCAGAAATAGACAGACAGGCAGGCACACAAACACACACACACACACACACACACACACACACACATACACACGGTGAATTTAGTTTTAAGTTAATGGCCCTACTACACAGACATACAACAAAATGACATGTTATTTAGATTCAAATGCTCAGAGTTAAAATGCTATGAAATCATATGGGCTTTGATTTTTTAATGTTATTCAATTGATGTCATTAAAACAGAGGAATTAGTCTTGTAATTATTCCCTGATGAGTTCTGCTGTCTGTCTGAAAAAAAGAAAAAGCACTCATTTCTGTCCCCAAACCAACTTATTTGGAGGAAAATTAGATGGGTTAAAGACAGCAAAAACCAAGTTTCAACATGCATGTGGGGAGAGGAAGAAAATGCATGTCAATAATACAGAATGCCCTGCCAGTCAATCTGAGCCGTGCCTTCCATTCAGATTGTGTAGTCTGGCTGATGCAGCAGTGAGGATGGATCTTTTCTCTCCTGTTTTAGTGTGCTAGCCATTCTTAGCACCCTAACACTTCATTAACATGCTAATGTGTGACAATTATTTTGTGCAAGTACCACCATATCTATTTTTTTAAAGTCACTATCAACCACAGCCAGAATGCAGGACATAATTGCTGAAAAATGAACCAAAATACTAACTCACGCCATTATTAATGAGAAAACAAAAAGCTGCTCAAGAGATTTTTTTCCCCCTTTCTGTCTTATGGCTCTGGCAGGTCAATCATTCTTTGTGTGATCATCACTGAAAAAAGAATCTGATTTGTCTGGAAGCATAAGCAAACCTTAACATTAACTCTACCAAGAGAAAGAAAGGCAGAGTTAGACAGTTCTCTCACTGTCTAACTCTGTAATCTTGAGCGAATCATTCCTTATAAGATAATAATAAAAAAAAAAACTAGTCCCTCACTGATGACTAGTTTTCTTATTTATACAGGTTGAGTACCCCTTATCTGAAATGCTTGGGAACAGAAGTGTTCCAGATTTGGGATATTTTTAGATTTCAGAATATTTGCATTACCGGTTAAGCATCCCTAATGTAAAAATCCAAAATCCGAAATGCTCCAACGATCATTTCCTTTGAACTTTAGGTCAGCATTTAAAGAGTTTCAGGTTTTGGAGCATTTCAGATTTCAGGTTTTAGAATCAGGGATTCTAACATTATCTGACATTATCTTTAAGATCTCTTCTAACATAAATATCTGCAATCAAAGGATATTACTACTTTAACAACGGCTAAACCCTCAATTTTTATTTTAAAATCATTTTATGGATTGTGTATATTATTTGTCTTCATCTTTGATTGGCTTCAAGTATCAGAAAGAACACCTGTACCTCTATGGAGAATCATTGAACTCTAATAAGGTACATGAAAGATGCTGAGATAAATGGAGAGACAGTAAAAGCTCCTAGATGGAATAACTTACCAAAAATATGTTAGTTCTTCAATTTTCATTTATAAATTCAATAACATTCAAATCAAAATTCAGTTGTAGTTGAGGAACTGATTCGATTGTATTTATTTCAAAATTTATATATGGCCAGACACGGTAGCTCACGCCTGTAACCCCAGCACTTTGGGAGGCCAAGACAGGCAGATTACTTGAGGTCAGGACTTCAAGAACAGCCCAGCCAATACAGCGAAACCCCGTCTCTACTAAAAATACAAAAATTAGCCAGGCATAGTGGTGCGCGCCTGTAGTCCCAGCTACTCGGGAAGCTGAGGCAGGAGAATTACTTGAACCAGGGAGGCGAAGGTTGCAGTGAGCCAAGATCGCACCACTGCACTCCAGCCTGGGCAAAAGAGTGAGACTCAGTCTCAAAAAAAAAAAAAAAAAAAAAAAAATCACATAGAAAAGAAAAGTTCACAGATACCTAAATCCACTATGAAAAAGAAGAACAATAAGTAGGACTTACTCTACCAGATAGTAAAATATATTACCAAGCCATAGTAACAAAACAGCATAAACTTTAGTTAAAGAACAGAAAAACCAATGGAGCATATCAGAGAGCGGAAGGGCAACACCAGCTTAAATAAACAGAATCACCATATGAAAAATTAATGGATTGCTACCTGCTACCACATACATATATGGACTTCAGATAGATTAAAGACCTAAATGTGGAAGATAAAACTATAAAACTGATATGAATAGATAATTTTTGTATTAGAAGAAGAGGGAATATTTTGCAAAGCCCCCAGAGTAAAATGCTGATAAACTAAATTACATCAAAATTAAAGACTTCTGTTCAATAAAAAGTATAAGAGACAAAAGTTAACAGAAACGTGACAGGCTAGGAGAATACATGTAATGTCTAAAGCCAGCCAGGGACTATCTGGACTATACAACGAATGCCTATAAATCAATAGGAAAAGTAAAAAATTTCCAGTAGATAAATGTGCAATGAATTTGAAGGGGAATTTACAGATGAGAAAAATCCAAGAAAATCAAGCACATGAAGACATAATCAAATCCAACAATAATCAGATAAAAACAAAACAAAACAAAAAATATATCATTTTACACTCACTAGACAGAAATAGGGAAAATTAGAAAGCTTAATAATGCTAAGTACTGGTGGGAATGTGGGAATAAGCATTCATACTGCTGGTGGGTGCTTTGACTGGTGAATCATTCCGGAGGTAATCAGTATACTTTTTGAAATTATACTGTATACAGTATCTGAGCTGGGTACCTATGCCCTCTGGCTCAGCAAGTCTACTATTAGGCTAGAACCCAAATAAATTCCCCTTGGTACTTTCCAGTAAGGGATGTATCTGAGGCTTTTCACAGTAGTTGTGTTCATGGTGAGGTGAGATGGAGACAATATAGGGGTCCATCCCTGGGAGAGAACAGAAGTAAAATGTATTCTAGACGCACTTCAACAACTATGGGCATTTGGATGCAATGGATTAGATGTACACATAGCAATATCCATGGACCTTAAAATAGAATACTGAGTGGAGAAAATACAAAGAAACAAAATAAGATATATAACTCATATTCACATAAATTAAAATGCAGTTACAATAAATTCCAAATATGAAACTATGTGAAATTTATAAGAACACATCCACTGGCAAGGGCATGCATTTTGAATGACTGAGTTTTCAAATGACTAGGAATGAGGATGAAGGAGAATGTACGCCTGCCAGCGTGTACCCATACGCAAATCAATAGAGACCTATGAGATTGTGTGTGTCTATGTGTACGGATCTATGTATCAAACAAGAGTTTTACAAAATACACATATTCTTATTCCATATAATGCACTCTGTTTACATTTCCTGTTTCCTTTTTTATTTTTTAAGGCTGATCTCTGTCCACACAATTGATTGCATAACCTAGCAATGCGTTACAACTTTACTTTTTAAAACACTGATGTAGACAATAATAAAGGCATTACAGTGAGTTCCTTGAAGAAGAAGAAGAATAGTGCCATAAAACTAAGAATTGTAAGCAAGAGCCCGAGCACAGGCAGCCGACTTGAGAAAAAGCTCTCTCTTGTGCTCCTTCTCCCAAAGATTCACATTCTCAGGGAATTACCGGGAGTCTGGGTCGGCTCCTCATCACGTGATTCTGACCTCAACAGCACTTCCGGACGGTGAACTTTTCACCCTTACTTAGCCCTGGCCTGTCAGACTGAGGCCGCAACTAAAGCAGGAAATGATATGCTACTTGCTTTAGCAGAAGGGATATTTTAAAACATAAAGGAACATTTCTAAGCGTTCCTTAAACACATTCAAACGGGATGTAAATATATAAAAATATGATCCTTCTCTTTTGAAATGGAAAGTTGGAAGATACAAAAAAGGCAGAAATGCTAAGGACCAAAATAATAAAATAGAAAAAACTTGAAAACAGGAGTAGGTCGCCCAGATTTCAAGGGAGCAGGAAACTAAATATGTGTAGGAGGAGATGCTGTATAAGATAGAAAAGTCAATGGGCTGTTTCCAATTTTCAGTTCAGTAAATAAAAATTAAAAGCAAACAAAACTTTCTATTTCAAATGAACCAAATATCGTCTTGTGAGGGCAGCTTTAGGTCCTCTTCCTACCAGAAGCTCTTACCAGAAAACATTTCTTGGCCAATACAGAACATAGCAAATTTTAAGTATTTAAACAGGACTACACACTTCTGAGCTAAATAGGGGTAGATGTTCCTGGGCTAACTGAGGTGCAGCAAAAAGTGGGGTGCAGAACTCTGTTTCTACCTTTGCGGCTGTGCTCAAGTGGAGAGATGAGAAGGAGTGACCAGTTTTAGACGCAGAGCACCAGGTCTGCAAACGGAGGGAGGCAGCAGCCCTGGACACGATGTTCCCTGAAGGGCAGCGTTTGTACAGGGATACTCAAGAGCCAGCCGTATCAGCCTGAGTTTGAAGCAGGCATCTACCTAGGGCTATCATCAACTGCTTGTAAAACAGAACTAAGTTGGAAGAGGTTATATAAAAGAAAACAAACAAAAAACTAAAAAGAACTACATTTCCTAGAATTCATATAACAAAAGGCAGAAGAAATATAATCTATACACAGAGAGGAGTGGCTTTTGGTCTATAGGCCAGAAAAAAAGGTGCAGATAAAGTGGGTGACCAGGGAGCAAAACAAGCAGGGGGCTACAGGAACCATGAAGTTGTTTTAGCATATTTACCAGTTAGTGGTCCTGAAATGATAGGTGTCCACAAAGTACACATGCTATGTTAAAGATAATGGCCAGCTCTTTTCAATTTTTGATGAAAACATAGCAAGAGAACAGTTATTCCAAAAGCCATCATTTATTGAAAAGGCTCTTGACAATACACAATTGCTAATCCTTATGCCAACTCTGCAAGGTAAGTGATAGCACCTTTTACAAATGAAGAAACAGACCATCATCGACGCTAAGAAAGCTCCCCTGTGTTGCATAGCAATAAGAGGCAGAGCCAAGATTTGAGCCTAAGGGTTTCTGATTTCAAAATATCTTTCTGTTCAGCATACTGACACTCAAAAAGTATATGTAGGTGAAAATTGATTAAGCAAGACATCAAAAAGAATTTCCTCCACTTAAAAACGCTAAAATGGGTTAAGCATTGAAGGGGTAAATTACCAATGTCAATTTCCTGGTTTTAATAATGGTACTGTGGATATTAAAGATAGTAGTATCATGGGGAAGCTGGGTGAAGGGTACATGAAAACTCTGTAAGTTTTGCACCTCCTTGCAGCCTAAGATTCCTTTAAACTTAAAAGTATCTTTTGTAAGTAAGGGAACAGACATTTTGGAAAGTTATACAGCATCTTTCTCCTTTGGATACATATATTTAAAAAAAAAAAAAAAAAGCTAATTCTTGGCCAGGCGCGGTGGCTCACGCCTGTAATCCCAGCACTTTGGGAGGTCGAGGCAGGCGGATCACGAGGTCAGGAGATTGAGACCATCCTGGCTAACACGGTGAGACCCCGTCTCTACTAAAAATACAAAAAATTAGCTGGGCGTGTTGGCGGGCGCCTGTAGTCCCAGCTACTGGGGAGGCTGAGGCAGGAGAATGGTGTGAACCCGGGAGGCGGAGCTTGCAGTGAGCTGAGATCGCGCTGCTGCACTCCAGCCTGGGCAACAGAGCGAGACTCAGTCTCACAAAAAAAAAAAAAGCTAATTCTCAGTTGTCTGCAGTAACCTAAATACTGCAAGAAATAAAATGATATTGAATACCTTCAACTCTCATTCAATTTTAATAAACTTTCATTAAGTGCATATTAATGAAGTACATGGTACTGTACAATTTCATCTATATAAATTCGTGTGCTCCCACATTCAAGGTTTTCTCATTTTTGTCTTTGTCTACCACGCTGACATACAGGAACCAAGGAAATACAGCTACCAGTAATATCTACAATGAACATCATGAAACTGAAATGCCTACCTGACATTAAAAGAACATTTGATAAGAAAATTTACTTTTTTATCCTAAGAATTACTTTTTTTTAGTAAATATGACAATTTTGAAACAGCAATCATTCATTGAATGTTTTCTATCTGTCACTAAATTCACTTACTATCAGCACTATAGAGTAAAAATGGATCTTCTCATTTTATAAATAAGGAAAGATAGACTCTTAAAGTTTACTTTGCCAAAGTCATGCCACTATTAAGTGGCAAAATGAGGATTCAAACTCAGATCTCTAAACACGACACACCTTCCACTATCTCTGGCCCTCCACACTTTCATTCCTACGCTTAAAAGGCATCTATTATATCCTTTACCAACCAAACCTTCATGGCAAAATATCCTTTCTAAGTACATTTACACATTTTTTAAAAATTCTCAATATTCCTTCCTGGCTCCTATTTAAAGTTAAAGTTTGTTACTGAAGCTGAAGAAAAATCTTACAAGAATGAAAGAAATGCAAGTGGTATTCCAAGTAACAATATGTGCATGCTCCAGTGGGAAACATGAGAAGAGCATCTGCCAAATTCATTTTGGCCCCATTTGATACTATCTCACTGATCTGGGTCCAACTTACATTTGTTTCTCTCTTTCTTTCCCTCCCCTATTTCCTCGTTGTTCCAGAAGCATATAAAAACCATAGAAAAGAAGCTGGATAGAATTTCCAAGAATACACTGAAAACACTGTCAAATAAGAGAATGGCTATCTAGTCCAAGCATAACTTCATTTCAATTAAGAAAAATCTAAAATGCTAAAACAAATCTTTCTGGCATCAGGAAAAAAAAAAGAAACAACATTATCTAAATGTTGATTATAAAAACCAATAGGTTTGTGGGGAGAAATTCTTAAAAGAACTAATTAAATATGCCTTTTAATCTGTACTTACGCATAGGGCACTATAATTTAGTATGAGTCAGCCTTCAAGCCGGATGTACTTTTTAATTCAAACTTATATTTAAAGTCTTTAATTATGTTTAATTCCACTTCCAGCTTTTGTTACCCGGCACTGATCCCTATCTGTTCAACCCTGATGTAAATGAATCTCAGATTTTTGATACTTACAGTGAAACACATCATTTTTGAAGATCCATAAACTTTACCGTTCTTGACTTCTATCTGCATGTGAAATCTTTAAAGTCTAATCTATGGAACTGGTATTTTCTTTTTTAAAAGAAACAGTTCTCAATCAGTCAAGCTTTTAAAAAATCAAAGTAAAAATGGCTAATTGATTTATACTTTTAAAATCACCCAGGCATTTTCCCCCTATGGTGATATTTTATAGCATCCCTATTTCTTTCCTTCCAACTTCTTGGTGAATTAAAGGACAGTACTGTATTAGTACAACAGTAAAGAAAAAATAACTTCATAAAAAGTCAAACACGGGTGGGTGCGGTGGCTCATGCCTGTAATCCCAGCACTTTGGGAGGCCAAGGCAGGCAGATCACCTGAGGTCGGGAGTTTGAGACCAGCCTGACCAACATGGAGAAACCCCATCTCTACCAAAAATACAAAATTGGCCGGGCATGGTGGCACATGCTTGTAATCCCAGCTACTTGGGAGGCTGAGGCAGGAGAATCGCTTGAACCTGGGAGGCAGAGGTTGCGGTGAGCCGAGATTGCACCATTGCACTCCAGCCTGAGCAACAAACACGAAACTCCATCACAAAATAAAATAAAATAAAAATAAAAAGTCAAACACATAGGCTAAAAAATCCTGTCTTCTCCTTCTAACTAGATATCAACTAACAAACAATACTAATGAATATTTTCATTCTTGTATTTAGGGGCTTAGGTAATAATGCTATGAAGTCTAGTCTATAAGTCTCCCACCATACCACTCCTGACAAAAAGATGAGACTAAATAACTGTGTCAGGCATTGTGTTAACCTAGGAAATACCACAGGAATATTTTGGTACTCTATCTAACAGGTTCATACTCTAATGGAGGAGATAAAGTTAATAGACAATGATAATTCAGTGTGATGATGGATGCTACAAGGACAGGGTGCCTGAGAAATATACAGGGGGGATTAATATGGTTTGGCTGTGTTCCTACCCAAACCTCATCTTGAATTGTAGTTCCCACAATTCCCATGTGTTATGAGAGAGAGCCGGTGGGAGATAATTGAACCATTGGGACAGTTTCCCCCATACTGTTCTCATGGTAGTAAGTCTCAGAAGACCTGATGGTTTTTTATACAGGGAAACCCCTTTTGTTTGGTTCTCTCATTCTCTCTTGACACCGCCATGTAAGAAGTGCCTTTCGCCTTCCACCATGATTGTGAGGCCTCCCCAGCCATATGGAACTGTGAGTCCATCAAACCTCTTTTTCTTTATAAATTACCCAGTCTCAGGTATGTCTTTATCAACAGTGTGAAAATGGACTAATACAGGGACATTTAACACAGCCTGAAGAGAAAGGATTTCAGGGTGTTCAGAACAATTCCCCAAAGGAAGTGATGTCCAAGAGAGACTAGGAAATAAGTAACCACTTTGCATCCACTAGGATGGCTATATTTTAAAAGACTGACAATAATCAGTAATGGGAAGGATATAGAGGAATTGGAAACCTCGTACATTGCTGGTGAGAAGGTAAAAGGGCACAGCCACTTTGGAAGACAGTTTGGCAGTTCCTCAGAATGTTAGGCATAGAATTACCCTATGACCCAGAAATGTCACTCCTAAATATATAACCAAGAGGACCGAAAACATACATCCACACAAAAACTTGGACATGAATGTTCATAGCAGCATTATTCTAAACAGTCAAAAAGTAGAAACAATTCAAATGTCTCTCAACTGATGAATCAATGAACAAAATATGCTGCATTCCAAAATGGAGTATTATTCAGTCATAAAAGAGAATGAAATGGCAATTCATGCTACCACATGTATGAACATGGACAAACCTTGAAAATTTATACTAAGTGAAAAAAGTCAGATACAAAAGGTTACAAATTGTATGATTCCATTTACATAAAATGCCCAAAACAGGCAAATCCTTAGATACAGAAAGTAGATTAGTGGTTTCCAGGGACTAAGAAGAAGAGGAAAATGGGGAGCACCTACTAATGGGTATGGGGTTTCTCACTGAGGTGATGACAAAATTCTGAAATTAGATCATGGAATTTTAGATCATGAAGAGTCATGCAATTTTGTGAATATACTAAAAACCACTGAATTCTACATGTGAAAATGATACATTGTGTGGCATATGAATAATCTTAATTAAAAAAGAGAAAAAATAATAGTGAATATGTGAAAATATTGAACAAAGGCATCAAAAGGAAGAAAAAGAAGGGGGAAGTGACAAAAATGATAGCTGATAAGGAGAAAGGAGAAACTGAGGTGGGCTCCAGCACAAGAAGGAAGACACAGGTTCCAGAGCAGGAAGAGGAGGTAGGTCTCAGAGCAGGAAGCGGGAGGAAGATCCCAGATCAGGAAGGAGGAGGCAGGTTCCAGTGCAGGAAGGAGGAGGCAGGTTCCAGAACAGAAAGGAGAAGGCAGATCCCAGAGTAGCAAAGAGGAGGCAGGTTCCAGAGCAGGAAGGAGAAGGCAGATCCCAGAGTAGGAAGGAGGCGGCAGGTCCCAAAGCAGAAAGGAGGAGGTGGGATCCAGAGCAGGAAGGAGGAGGTAGGTTCCAGCACAGGAAGGAGGAGGCAGGTTCCAAAGCAGGAAGGAGGAGGCAGATCCCAAAGTAGTAAAGAGGAGGTGGGTTCCAGAACAAGAAAGAGGAGGCAGGTTCCAGAGCAGGAAGGAGGAAGCAGTTTCCAAAGCAGGAAGGAGCAAGCAGATCCCAGTGCAGGAAGGAGGAGGAGGTAGATCCTAGAGCAGGAAGGAGAAGACAGGTTCCAGAGCAGAAAAGAGGAGGCAGGTTCCAGAGCAAGAAGAGGGAGTTGGTTCCAGAGCAGAAATGTGAAGGTGGATTTTGGCAGTTTCAGAGCAGGAGGAAGAAGGCAGTTCCCAGCTCAGGAAGGAGGAGGCAGGTTCCAGGGCAGGAAGAAGGAGGAGGCAGTTTTCAGAGCAGGAAGGAGGAGTCAGATCCCAGTGCCAGAAGGAAGAGGCAGGTTCCAGCTCGGGAAGAAGTAGGTGGCTCTAGAACAGGAATACAGAGGCGAGTTTCAGCAGTTTCAGAGCAGGAAGAAGGAGTAGCAGGTTCCAGAGCAGGAAGAAGGAGACAGATTTCAGGGCAAGATGAAGGAGAAGGCAGTTTCCAGAGCAGGAAGGAGGAGCCAGACCCCAGTGCAACATGAAAGAGAAGGCAGGTTCCAGAGCAGGAAGGGAAGGCAGATCCCAGTGCAAGATGAAGGAGAAGGCAGGTTCCAGAGCAGGAAGGAGGAGGCAGACCCCAGTGCAGGAAGGAGGAGGAGGAGGCAGTTTCCAGAGCAGGAAGGAGGAGGCAGATCCCAGTGCAAGATGAAGGAGAAGGCAGTTTCCAGAGCAGGAAAGAGCAGGCAGACCCCAGTGCAGGAAGGAGGAGAAGGCAGATTCCAGAGCAGGGAGGAGGAGGTGGGTTCCAGAGCAGGAAGGAGGAGGCTGGTTCCAGAGCAGGAAGGAGGCGGCAAATCCCAGTGCAAGATGAAGGAGAAGGCAGGTTCCAGAACAAGAAAAGGGAGGTGGTTCCAGAGCAGGAACACGGAGGTAGGTTTTGGCAGTTTCAGAGCAGGAAGGAGGAGAAGGCAGGTTCCAGAGCAGGAAGAAGGAGGCAGGCTGCAGAACAGGAAGAAGGAGGTGGTTCCAAAGCCAGATGAAGGAGGTGCGTTTCAGCAGTTTCAGAGCAGGAAGAAGGAGGTGGTTCAGGAGCAGGGAGGAGGAGGTGGTTCCAGAGCAGGAGAATAAGGAACAAAGTGGGACTGGGATGTGGTTTGCCCTTCACTAGTGACAAAGCACTGAATGTGAGTACAGGTTAATTGTGCAGGCCTGGAGGCAAAATTTGAGGGAGTTGACATCTAAAGCTTCTTTTCTGACTGGCAGTAACTGGCAACCTGGAGGGGTAGGAAATTTGAGGTGAATGGAGGACGTTAAGAACAACCTCTGAAGAATAGGAGACACAGACCGATGAGAAAATAAGCCAGTTATTGGAAGGTTCCCACCATTTAAAAACAACAACAACGTCCATGTTTAACACTACAAAATAATTTACTTAGCCATCAAATGAATAGGAGCATCTGAGAAGAGATTTTCTCCACTGTCCAGTCTCCTGGCTCCAGGCAGCAGGCTTACTGCCTCCTGGTTTTTATAGGAACATTTGCATCTTTTTTGGTACTCTCCTATTCCGTTCCCCAACTGCTCCAGTCCTGCAGTAGACTGTTTCTTAGTTTATTTGTTTTCCTTAGATGTTAAGATTATTTCAACAACTGGGTACTGTAGATATAAAAAATGGATATGAGGCCAGGTGCGGTGGTTCACACCTGTAATCCCAGCAATTTGGGAGGCTGAGGCAGGAGTTTGAGACCAGCCTAGGCAACATGCTGAGAACCCTGTCTCTATTTTAAAAAATGAAAAAACTTAGCTCGATGTGGTGGCATGTTCCTGCCATCCCAGCTCTTTGAGAGGCTGAGGTGAGAGGGTCACTTGAGCCTAGGAGTTTAAGGCCGTGGTGAGCTAGGATCATGCCACTTGCACTGCAGCCTGAGTATCAGAGTGAGACCCTGTCTCCAAAAATAAAATAAAATAAAAATGGATTTGAAGATGCTTATTATAAAGCTTTCCATAACCACAAGAGGAAACGAGCTTTTCTCCTTATTCATTGTATCTTATTTTTCTGGGTTTTTTTGTTGTTTTTTGTTTTTTGTTTTTTTTTTGAAAGAAGTCTCGCCCTTGTCACCCCAGGCTTGAGTGCAATGGCTCGATCTTGGCTCACTGCAACCTCCGCCTCCCGGGTTCAAACGATTCTTCTGCCTCTGCCTCCCAAGTAGCTGGGATTAAGGCGCCTACCACCACGCCCAGCTAATTTTTGTATTTTTTAGTAGAGACAGGGTTTCACCATGTTGGCCAGGCTGGTCTCGAACTCCTGACCTCAGGTGATCTGCCCGCCTGGGCCTCCCAAAGTGCTGGAATTACAGGTGTGAGCCACCGCGCCTGGCCATTTTTCTCTGTTTCTATTAGTATTTCATAATTTTTTCAACATCAAGAAACCAGGATTCTATTTGATATGTTCTAGTTAAGACATGTTAATGATCTTTATTTTCTATGCTTCAGTAATGAGCAATTCACACTTAAATGAATAAAATTAGCTTTTACCTTCAGCTGGTAAAGTTGACCCTCAAGTCTGAGCTGAAGATTTTCTCAGAAACTTTCAAATCAAGATCTAGATCTCCACAGATAAGAATAATGGAGTGACTCCACCAGTAGATTTTACCTACAGAAAAAGCAATAATTTATTAGAACTTTGTATGAAGGAAAGGTGCTGTGTAGTTATTACTGAATCATGTAAACATACCAAGTCTCCAAATAGTACTGAAGTTTTTTATTTCTACTCATTAGGCAAATACATACTAGTTAACATTTTTTGAAAGCTTCCTATGTTGCTGTATGTAACTACATTTGTCTCTTTTTTTTGTTTTGTTTTTGAGATGAAGTCTCGCTCTGTGGCCCAGGCTGGAGTACAGTGGTGTGATCTCAGCTCACTGCAACCTCCTTCTCCCAGGTTCAAGCGATTCTCCTGTCTCAGCCTCCTGAGTAGCTGGGACTACAGGTGCGCACCACCATGCCTAATTAATTTTTATATTTTTAGTAGAGATAGGGTTTTGTCATGTTGGTCAGGCTGGTCTTGAACTCCTGACCTCAAGTGATCTGCCCGCCTTAGCCTGCCAAAGTTCTGGGATTACAAAAATGAGACACCGTGCCTGGCCCATATTTGTTTCTTATCATTGATGTCATTTTGCGGATGAAGAAAATGGAACACAGCTAGTAAATGACAGTCACAATTTATACCCAAGGATTCTGGCTCTAGGTTCTGAGTTCTTAATCACAGAACAACCTTAACACACTGTCTTGACATAGGTCCATATACTCTAGGAAAAAGTTTTAAAACTTAGATGGTATGAGGAATCCTATATGGTTTATTCCCATTTGATTGCTAGTGCTTCTCAAAAATATGTAAATGTCATCTAAAATTCAAAATACTATAGTCAGGGTGAGATAGTGACAAGAGACTGAATCAAGGGTAGACAACCTGGGTATTTGAGACAGAGGACCAAGCAATGGGCTATGTGTTCACGACATATCTGAAACTCTCCTGTGCCTAAAAACTTAGGCTTTTGGGCTAGATGACCAGAAATGTGCTTTTAGTTGTAAAAAAGAAGCATACACTGTGAAACCCCTGACCTCCTCCATCACCAATCTGTTACCTTCTTTCTGAGTAGTCATTCATTACCTATTCTTCTAGGCTTTAGTCGAAATCTCTCTCTTTTCTCTCTCTGCCAACTGGTCTCTTGTTTCACTTTACACTTTGTTAATGCAGGTCTATTCTGGACAATTTAGCATTTCTTAGGATAACAGACAATTCGATTTGTTCATTTGAACCCTTTTAGAAACAAAGCAAAGCATAAAGAAATAAAAATGCATAATGCTCAATATTCCCTAGGTCTTATATATAATAATATAGCATGAGCTTGACTGGAAGCCCTTTCAGGAAAAGGAACAGGCTGGAGAGCCCGGAGCAAGTGGTAGGATGCTGGGTGCACTGTGGACAACACTGATGAGCTGTACATCTCCCTCCTTCAGGGATATCCCATGTTTGCTAACTCAGTGTGCTGCATACATTTACTTACACTTGCAAATAAGTAAACATGTTGAGATTCAATATGTGAACTTGAAACAAGGCCTGCAGTCACTATATTTTCTAGGTATTTCTGCCAAAGTAAACATTTTTCCTTGGATCTTGATTCTCTGATTCTCCAATCTTGTTTTCTTTGTATTTTGCTTTGATCCTGTCTTGTTTCTGCTGTTCTTCTTGAACGTTTAAAATGTGTGCCTTTGCCTGTATAAAGGGTAAAGAAACTCTAAGGTGTGCTTGGGCGTGGAAGCTGGCTTTGCAAATAAGAAAGCATCTTAAAGGATCAGTACACAGTGTTAGTATCCAAAATCAATGGCATTACGGCCTTTCTATCATCAGAGCGTGAGAAAGAATCAAACTTCCAACAAATTGCCATAGGAAATTTCTCTTAGCCAGTTTCTCTAGCCTTTGCTACACAATTTTTTTTTCTTTGCTTTGGAAATGTCCTTTTTATTTATTTTTTCTTTTTTTTAAATTTTACTTTAAGTTCTGGGATACATGTGCTGAACATGCAGGTTTGTCACATAGGTATACATGTGCTATGGTGGTTTGCTGCACCTATCAACCCGTCATCTAGGGTTTTTTTGTTTTTTGTTTTTTGTTTTGAGACAGAGTCTCGCACTGTCACCTGGGCTGAAGTGCAGTGGTGCGGTCTCGGCTCACTGCAACCTCTGCCTCCCAGGTTCAAGCAATTCTCTTGCCTCAGCCTCCCGAATAGCTGGGATTACAGGCGCCCACCACCACGCCCGGTTAATTTTTTGTAACTTTAGTAGAGATGGCATTTCACTATGTTGGCCAAGCTGGTCTCGAACGCCTGACCCCGTGATCCACCCGCCTCCCAAAGTGCTGGAATTACAGGCATGAGCCACTGCACCTGGGCTGTCATCTAGGTTTTAAGCCCTGCATGCATTAGATATTTGTTCTAATGCTCTCCCTCCCCTTTCCCCCAACTCCCTGACAGGCCCCAGTGTGTGATGTTCCCCTCCCTGTGCTACACAAATTATATCCATATTGTAACAGTAACAGCAGCAGCAGCAATAATATATAATGATGATAATAATAACGACATAGCATTTACTCTAAGCCAGTACTCTTCTCAGCACTCTACCGGTATTAATCAGATGGTCTGCACAATAGCCACATGAGATAGGTGCTATGGTTACCTACATTTTATAGATGATGTAAGAAACAGAGAGGTTAGTTCACTTGCTCAAAGCCACACACTGGTAAGTGGTGGAGGCAGGATTTGAGCTCAGGAAGCATGACTCCAGAACACCAACTCATAATCCCATTAATCTAAAATGCCTCATAAATATCTAACAATGGCCTTAAGACACTCCAAGTTTCCAACTGCTTTCCCAGTCAAATCTGAATGAATTTCCGTAATTACACAAATGATATCACACATCCAGAAAAGTCCCTATCTCATAAAACAATATTCTTCTCTGCACAACCACCACAGAAATCCAGAACTAAAAGTCTAATTTAATAATTATACCCCATAGGATTCTTACAAAAATCCAAAATAAAAAAGAATTCAGAAACTATTCCTTTTAACTTTGTAAAATTAAAACTAAAAGCTAAGCCTTCCTGTACAAATTATGTCTTACTTTTTGTGTCAAAAGAATTTCAAGCTTACAGAAATGTTGCACAAGCTGTTCAAAGAACTCTCATGTATCCTTCACTGGGAGACCCCAATTCGAGTTAGGCCAACTTTCCCAGTAATGCTCTTTCTAGTCAAAGGATCCATTTCAGGATCACACTTTCTATTTAGTTGTCATCGCTCTTCCATCTCCTTTGATCTGGAATAGTATCCTTGACCTTCACAACCTTTATATTATGGAAGGCAGCAGGTGAATTATTTTGTAAAACGCCCCTGAACTAGGATTAGAGATATTTTCTCATGAAAAGATCTGAAGATTGCATTGTTTGGAAGAGATGCTGTGTTCTTCTCATTGCATCCCATCAAGTGACATAGAACACTGTGTGTCCCATCACTGCTGATGAGAACTTTGATCACTTGAGTAAGGTTGTGTCTTCCAAGTTTCTCCAGTAAAGCTCCTGTGTTGCCCCTTAAAATGCACAAGGATTTGTGGACAGATACTTTATGATTATATAAAGATTCTGATCCTCATCCAACTTGTATTCATTATTGTTAGCATCCGTTGATGTTTCTTACCTGGATTAATTATTACTATGATGACTGCCAAATGGTAATCTCTCCAATTCCAGAATTCCTTCTGTATATCACACAGCGTTCTATTTTAAGGAAGAACTTTCTCCTCTCCCCACATTTTTATGCATTTATTTATTTATGCAAGTGTAGATTCATGTATTTCTTGTTTAGTGGGATGTAATCTGTAACTATCATTGTCATTCTGGTGCTCAAATTGTTCCAGGTTTCACATGGGTTTAGTGAGAATCCCTTGAAGCTGACTGCTGTGTCCTTGTGGCGTCTCCCATTATTCTTTCAGAGTTTCTATATCTTCTGTCACAAGACATTCAGGGCTCATCTTGTACCTTTTCTTTCCCAGCTCTAGAACCAGACATTTTTTTCAAAGACCCATAGTTGCTTTAAGCAAAAACTGGAATTTAGAAACTACAATCTGGGTAGCAGGTGTGCTCATATTTACTGGGCTGTCACTACATCCTGGCCCTTTCAGTGAACAGAGTTAGGAAATGGGTGTGTGTGGGGGGTGTGTGTGTGTGTGTGTGTGTGTGTGTGTATGTGTGTATGTGCATTTATTCATAGACATGCATACACTTTAACGTTTATATTATTTCTACACTGAAATTTCTATATCTATGAAATTTCTACATATCAAAATCCACACGTTCACAATGAAACCTTAAATTCCTATCCACAATACAGGGTTCATTCTGGCTCTCCCCTTTTTTATATCTGTAACTATTCTCCAACAGTAAGAAGTCTGGCTCCCATTATCTTCAGTATATTTACTTATTTGCCCTGATAGGTCTCCTTGCTGAGACCTGCCTAATGGCTTTTTGACAAACGGAAGGTAGAAAGGAAGAAGGAAGGAAGGAGGGCCGGCAATACCAACTTTTTAAGAATTGGTAATCTATTTATGAACAAAATATAATCAGGCTAAATTATCAACACAACAGCTCACTCCCTGGCCATAGCAGATACCAGAGTTTAAAGCAGTCTTCCAATGGCTTGTCATCTTTCAATGTGTATAGGACACACAATTGTTCACATCTTTACTACAAAAATTTTTTGATGTATATATTATTGGGTAACAAAAGCTTTAAGAACCATGTGTGGCTCTTTCAAAACAGATCAAAGACATTCTAGTGAATCCTTACTGAACACCCATCCCCATTATAGTGAAGATGGGGAAAGTGGGGCCCAGAAAGGTCACAGGTCTTGCTCAAGGTCCCGGAATTAATCAGTAGCAAAGCACAATCCAACCCTGGAGTTTCTGACTTTCCAGATCATTATGCAATGTTACTTTTGAAAATGTTTTGCAAAAGTAAAACACAATTTTTTTTCCAGACAGGGTCTCACTCTGTCACCCAGGCTAGAATGCAGTGGCACAATCATAGCTCACTGCATCTTGGAACTGCTGGGATCAAACAGTCCTCCCTCCTCAGCCTCCCAAGTAGCTGGGACCACAGGCACATGCCACCATGCCCAGCTAATTTAAAAAGAAAAAAAAAAAGAATTTTTTTTCTGGAGAGATAGGGGGTCTCACTATGTTGCCCGCGCTGGTCTCAAACTCCTGGCCTCAGACAATCTTCCCACCTCAGCCACCCAAAGTGCTGGGATGATAAACATGAGCCACCGTGCCTGATTATAACATACAATTTTAAAATATGACCACTGAGAAGTACGTAATGTCACAAGCACCCATAAGAAAAATGTCTAAACATGAATGTAGCAAGCTTACTTCAAATCACTAGAAGAAACAGTATCTTCCATGAGAACATTAATAAAAACACTCAAATGCTTAACTATAAAAATAGTTCATATAACCAGAAACTGTTCCTTACTTTAGTATTCTGTAATTTCTCCAAGTCATCATAATTAGCATCCAGCAACAGAGTATAGGTAAGAAGAAATGCAAAATGGACACAATAAGACCTACCTACCTCATAAGCACTGGGAAGATCAAGACAGTACTTGTGAAAACACTACTCCTGAGGTGTGCTATACAATTACAAGTGGCTCCTTTCCCTTTGACGTACATAGACAGCTTCTGTTCAGAAGCTGGTTGAACCAGCATGGTAAGATGCTTTCCACTCTGGCTCCAAGTTCATTCACATTAAGCGTATCACTAAGCATCATTCAAGCTTTTGGGGTCTTAGTTTTCCCTGAAAGAGGAATTAAATCCCTACCCTGCCTATACCTGAGGAAGACAAGCACCTCTGGAGTGGGGGTTATGAGGCTGGGCTTTGTCATCAGTATAAATTCTAATCCTGCTCCACCATTACTGGGCTGGATGGCTTTGGGAGGGAGTAGGTCACTGAACTTCTCTAAGCCTCTATCTCTCATCTGTAAAATGGAGACAATGACACCTAAGTTCTCAGAGCTGGTGTGCAAATTAAATGAGAAAAAAGTATGGGAAGTGATTCACACAAAGTCCAGTGCCCCATTTGATAAAGGAAGACGCCCCTATTACCACCACCTTCATCATGCTACCACCATCACTACCTCCATTATCGGAGTCATCCCTATCACCTTCAGTCCTTTGAGTAGTTCGCAATGCGCAATACCAGTGGAAAGTGAGAGCTATTTCAAATGTGCTATGGTCATTAGTATGGATGGAATGCTCTGGCCCCCAAAATTCCTATGTTGAAATCCTATCCCCTGGTGTGATGGTATTAGGAGGTGGGGCCTTTGGGAAGTGATCAGGGCATGAGGGTGGAGTCCTCATGAATGGAATTAGTGCCCTTATAAAAGAGACCCAGAAAGCTCTCACTCACTTTCTGCCATGTGAGGATACAAGAAGTTGACAATCTGCAGCCACGAAGAGGGCACTCATCAGAATGCAACCATGCTGGCACCCTGATCTCAGACTTTCAGCTTCCAAAACAATCAGAAATAAATTTCTCTTGTTTATAAGCAACACACTCTAGGGTACTTTGTTATAGCTGTCCGAACTCACTCAGGCAGTCATAAATAAAATAAAGCTCATTTTATATTTGCAAGAGAACATTTAGGCAACTCCTAAAGTACTTCCTTGTCTTTCTGCATTGGGCCTCATACAATGCTTAAGGATGGTCCCAGTTTCTAGCTATTCTCCCCCAAGATATTGGATATAGTCAGTTCCCCCAAACTTCTTGGGTATAAGAGATGAAATTCATCACATGAAATGTGAGAGTTTGATACTTTACCACACAGGAGATAATTAAAGATGCAATTTCAGACTAGAATAAAAAAATAAAGCAATGAGCTACTTTTACAAGAAGGGGGAAAGTGATAAAACTCTTAAAAGATTTAAAACAGATTTAAGGGCATAAACAGTCTTCAGGCAGGCCAAAAACGGTGGATATCTTTTCTTAAAGCATAACTCCTGGCAAACTGAACATTTTATTACTTAGGTTTTTAAACTGTTTTTTTCCTTCCCAGAAATATTATACACACACACACACACACACAACCTGGTGTTCAATGAAATACCAGGTGCACTGTGGCTTTCACTCTGTTTTAAGAGAAAAAAAAATCTATTGTCACTCATGGGCTTCAGCCTAGCCTGTCAAGCAGGAATTAAAATCTCTTTAAAAAGAAGCTTTGCATGGTTCATGTGTCATGCTGACATGAGCTGGATCAGCTTACAGAAGGGGCCAGAGATAAGGCATCCAAAGGAGGTTACAAGTAAGCAGGCCCCAGAAAAATTTCTGATTTCTTTACTCATCTATCCTCCTCACCCCTCCCTCTCCCCGCTTTATAAAAATTGGTTCAATGTGCAATACAGAAGAAAGAGCTATTTCTTTCCCTTTATTAACAACAGCACTAGATTCTGAAATTAACAAATATCTACCTCCTTCCAATTTCTAAGGATCTCTTAATTTTTCTTCGAAAATCATAAAAAGCATATCAGTTTACCCCACTATCAGGCCTTTGATTTTATTAAGTCCAAAGCTACAAGGCCTGTAGAGCAGAGGACTGTTTGGCTTATTTTAAAAGAATGAATCAAATATTAGCTGTAAATTGGTCATAAATGGGGCCACTTAAGCCTCTACAGAAAGGAATTGCAAGGACTTGGGATTAAAATTGCAGGAAGCCAAAAAGAAAATTGAGGACAAGGAAATGACTGATGGGTTTGGTGCTATTATCTCTGAGAATACTAAGGACACTGAAGCTTTGAAAAAAAATTACATAGGTGACCTTGAGAACAAGTCCAGACTGAGAAGTCAGCTTGGTGTAGCTTCCTACAGGGGTGGAAGCAGAGCAGGCTGAATTCTTCGTTTCCAAATGGATGATAAAAGATGTTTCAGATAAGCAGTTTTGATTTCCTTTTAGCATGCGGAGCTGCAAGCTGCACTTCCAAGAAGAATAAATGTCATGCAGCCCTTGTAAAATGCTCCATCTTCAGTAGCTGTGGTTTGAAACTCAGAAATTATCCTAGAGGATTTCATGACTTTGGGGCATATAAGATTGGAAATTAAAAATGGACTTTATGGACTACAGCCTTTTTGTCTTTATCCTCTGTCACTGCACACAGAACAGGAAGCCCCGAGCCATTAAGGAGACCTGACTTATACTTCCCGAAACCCTGCTTCAAAATGAGAACTGGGAGCAGATCCTAGACCCCAGGGAATGTAACTAGCGCAAATTTCTCTACGCTTCAGCTTCCTGGAAGATGGATTTACTAACACATTGCTTTAGACCGGCGGTTCTTAAATTGGTTAATCTCAGGATAACCTTATGAATCTTAAAAAATTCTGAGGCAGGGCACAGTGGCGCATGCCTGTAGTCCCAGCTACAGGAGGCTGAGACGAGAGGATCGCTTGAGCCTAGTAGTCTGAGATCAGCCAGGGCAACATAGCAGGACCCCATCTCAAAAAAAAATAAATAAATAAGTTGTTGAGGACTTCAAAGTGCTTTAGTTCATGTACATCATATCTCATGATATAATTTATAACATTTATCATGATACAAATTAAAACTGATAAATGTTTAATATTTGTTACTCCTTAAAAAAGAATATATGGGCCAGGCACAGTGGCTCATGCCTGTAATCCCAGCAATTTGGGAGGCCGAAGCGGGTGGATCACTTGAGATCAGCAGGTCAAGACCAGCCTGGCCAACACAGAGAAATCCCTTCTCTACTAAAAATACAAAAATTAGCCAGGAGTAGTGGTGCATGCCTGTAATCCCAGCTACTCAGGAGGCTGAGGTGGGAGAATCGCTAGAACCTGGAAGGCAGAGGTTGCAGTGAGCCAACATTGCACCACTGCACTCCAGCCTGGGAGTCAGAGAGAGACTCCGTCTCCAAAAAAGAATTTATAACCCATTACTGTTAACATAAATAATATATATTTTTTTATAAGGGATAATTAGATTTTCCTAAAACATTTAGTGAGAAGAGTGGTACTGTTTTACTTTGCGTTTTTTTAATGCCCAGCATAACTGAAGATAGTTGCATCCAATCTGTTGTGGCATCATGTTTGGTTGATGTGTGTAGAAAACCCATTCCCACACAAATGCCTAGTTGGCAAATGCAGGATTGATGAAATAGCCTTTCAGATAATTGTGGATATTCTTTCTTTGATACTACACCCAAACTCAACAACTGGAAGTTTGTATAGGAATCGGAACACCTATCAGTGAACTTTACATACTCTGATATATTAAAACCCATTAATTTATCTAGCATTTTGAATGGATCTTTTACCAATATATCATTTTGTAACATCGATCATCGGTTGTTTAGGAAATAGCGACTTGCTGAGTTATACAGGGGTTCTGAATATACAGTGGAAAACTTCACTGTATACTTGTGAAAGAAAAAGAATGGAAAAAACAAATAACAACTTAGTATTGTTACGAAAATACATCAACACTGCAGATCCACTGAAAAGGAACCCCGGGGGTTTATGAACCAAACTTTAAGAACTGCTATTTAGGCCACCATGATACCCGAAAACAGTGACTCAAACTGAGAAGGGGGTAGTGGTTGGCCCAGTCATTGGGCCAACCTTTAAGGGTCCTTTTAGGGGACAGATGACATGAAAATCAAACATATCCCCAAATTGACTTTACTCTAAAACACGTGAGCTCTATATGGCTTCCAAGCTTTCTTTCAGACACCAGAAAGGTTATGACTCATTGGATTTGACATTGATCTCTAGTGCAAAAGTGCCCAAGTTTAAGCAACAATAATCACGATTTAGGCCAAAATCTAGATCTGAAAATAATATTTTATAACTAACAAGCCAGAATCATTTACTACCAATGTTTTTGTCTTTACTAAATTCTGAGGTTTAGTGGTTCCTCCATAATCATTATTTGTTAGAGACCCAGCTGCTACTAAGAGAATTTTAGATCTTTAATCATTAGACCCTAACTGTTAACCTACATCTTCAAATGTCAGCTCCTAAAGTAGGGACTTAATTGTCTGGCTTAATACTGTAGCCCCAGTTCCAGCACCTAAAAATCAGTGCCTGTTACCTGTTCAAAGCTCAAACTATATTTGTAAAATGAATGAATGACCTAGTTTGCATATAAATACCATTGAATAATCTAATGGCAACTATGATGATACTGTGTTCACCCTATTGAAAAAATGAATATAAAATCCAGCACCAGACTATACAGTATAATGGTATTTTAATGAATGAGGAAAAATAGATGAAGTGTTTATCTGTAAGTCTACTTTAATCAAAAGCCTTTAATTCACAATCATATTTTCAGTGAAGACCTCACACCCTTTACAAATTCAGATTTCAAAATCACATCCTCACTCTTTTTAACTCAATGAGATGCAGGAAGTAGCTGAAGAAGAATGAATTTCTGCTGTGGTAATGCTGCTGCCGCAATGCCACTTGATATTTTATGTAAGGAAAATAAATAAATAAATATTCTCCTAATCCTCCAGAGATCAAAATTCTGACAAAGGCTGGGCAAGAAACGATACTTGGACTGAAATACGCTCTTCTAAAAGGGTGTGTGTGTGTAGTTGCATGTGTGCATGGGCACATGGCAGTACAGGTCTCTCTGATCTTTGTTACAGCTGCATAAGTGAGTCCACTGTTCTTTCACTAAAAAAGAAAGAGACGGGCAAGGTATGGAGAGGTGGAAGAGAAGCCTAGCTTTACAAGTGCCCCAGTATTTCAGAAGTTTTGATCATTTGGATTATATAGGTTATTTTTTTCATAGCCCTGCTTGAAGAGAGAAAAAGTGGGCCTCCTTGGTGAACAGAAGTGACTGTTTGTGCAATAGAATTGATTATCTGTTCAAGATGGCTTATGCTGCATGACTATAAAAAATTGCAGGTGGCTTTGGTTACAAGGGAGCTATCAGTCATCCTGAACTATTGACACATTTTTATGTACTCTAGTCTCAAATCACTCACTAAGGTTACTTATTCATCCATGAAATCTAAAATTCGGAGTCCTACCAAAGGGAAAAGGGGAGATTTAAACTGAAAAGTCTACCCTCCCTAGTCTCCTAACGACATCACATTTTAAAGCTTGCAGGAAGGGAAAAGCTAAATTCCCTTAAGCTCACCATCCCAGGGTATCACTGGTGTCCAGCTATCACCTTTGTTCAAGTGATAACTGAGAGAGCTATGAATCCCAGGGATTGGGAAAAGCTACTTAAACTCTTTTCACAGCTTTGATTTATGATGGGTCATGAACTAATAAAAATTATAGTGAATATTTATTTTTCTTCAGCATTGTGCTTGTCACTAGACAAATTGCAGATGAAATCAATTCCAGTCTGGTCCCAGGAGCTTAAAAATTACTAAGCACATGCTAACACTCCAGCATTAGAAGAGATAGTCAGATAACTACACACAAAGCCGAGAGTGCGAATCTCCTTCCAGAAAAGGATAAAACTGCTGCCAGCATGGCTGTTTGATTTCCCTACCACAAGACAGACCTCTGGGGAAGGCCCGCCTGCCGGCTAATGATCAGAGGCAGTAATTTCTAAGCACATAATGCTGGATTTCAGATGAGGCGGCAAATTGTTTTTATTGGCATTTTTTTCCTAATATAAAAATTCTCAATCTAGATCTAAATTAATGAATGTCGTTACATCTTTGTTCCACAGTTTCTCTCTTAAATTCCAAGCTCTATGCAATCCCTCTTTTTGTCCACTTTCCAAAAACAGCAGGCTTTCCCTAGGACTCGATGATATTCAACTCCATGAAGCAAATGAACCATTCTGCAAAGTGTTTTCCCTCTTTCCCTCCCTTCTACTGTCCAACATTTGGGCATTTTGTAGCTTATCAGAATCTTTATCCAGCAGGACCTTTATCAAGCAAAAATTTGGACTAGAAGGGGTAAAATCAGCTGTAAGAAGAACCCATCAAAAATATTATGGTATAGCGTGTTCTGTTGATTTTGTTCTTCTTGGTTATTATTGTCTCAAAATATATTATTTGTGGAGTTAACTGTTATTCTATGGAGTAGTCAGAGATGAAATATACTGAAATCCATATGGATTTTTGTAAGAGAAAAAGGAAGAACACCTCTTGACAATAAAATCAATGATAGTCGGTTTCTACTTCTATATTGCTATGAACTTTATGTCTTTATACCTATTTCTGGTACACTCCCCAGGATTTCCCATTTATTCATTCATATGTTCAGCATGTAATACATGTTAGACATAGTACTGGATCACAGAAATAGAAGTCTACAGAAATCACGGTCCCTGCACCCAAAAAGCTCAATGTAGTACTGAGTTTATATGTTCAAAACATTTTAAATTAAAAAAAAATTAATGAAAAAGAGGAAGGTTGGGAGTGGAAGAAAAAGGAAAAAAGGGAAAGGGAAAAAGGAGGAAATCACAATACTAAATTGGAAATACACACTTAACAGAAAGTAAAAACAGGAGGGAATCGCTGAGAACATTCTAGGGCAGGAGGATGTTTGAGGGGAGCTGCAGGCCAGACTTGGCTGAGAGTAGCAACTGAAAGGAGTCGTGGACAGAGACGCTCACCTACTCACCTGTTGAGTTAGGAGGGTAGGAATGCAGGAAGGACAGAGGCAGGAAACAACAGTTTGGAGAACTTCTGTCCCAGGCTTGAAACCCTCTTTATAACATTCCTCTCCGTCACCTTTCACATCTTCACAGTCACTAAGTCCTGACTTTTCTGGCTTTGAAATCTCACATCAGCCCCATCTTTTCTCTTCCTGCTGGTTCCGCTCCAGCAGGGGGACTTCCTTATGTACTGTGTACTGCAGAGGTGGCCCCCAACCGTGCCCTGTGCTCTACGTTCTCCACCTCCCAACCAGCATCCCACCTATCGGGCACTCTACTGTCTACACCATCTTCTGAAAATTGCACTTTGCATGGCCAGTTGTCTTCAGGTGAAAATCTGAATGCACTCACTTGGACTCAGTTCAGGGACCCCTATAATTGACAACAATCTCATTATCAAAGTTATGCTTCAGCGGTTGGCTCCATTTTAAGGCAGTGGTTTCATTGCCTGACAAATGGACAAGGCTATAAAATAGGGACCACTGGCTGGCTGGGCGTGGTGGCTCACACCTGTAATCCCAGCACTCTGGGAGGCTAAGGCAGGTGGATCACCTGAGGTCAGGAATTCAAGACCAGCCTGGCCAACACGGTGAAACGCCGTCTCTACTAAAAATACAAAAATTAGCCAGGCGTGATGGCACACGTCTGTAATCCCAGATACTCCAGAGGCTGAGGGAGTAAAATCACTTGAGCCTGGGCGGTGGAGGCTGCAGTGAGCCGAGATCATGCCACTGCACTCCAGCATGGGCAACAGAGTGAGACTCTGTCTCACAAAAATAAATAAATAATAAATAAAATAGGGACCATTAGATTAACTATCTTATAGGGTTGAAAATTAAATAAGGATGTATGCACAAACATAGCACAGTGCCTGGTACTTTGTAAGCCCTTAATGAAAGGGGTGGTGGGGGGAGAGGAGGAGAGGAAGGAGGAGGAGAAGAAGGAGGAGGGGAAGAAGGAGGAGGGGAAGAAGGAGGAGGGGAAGAAGGAGGAGGGGAAGAAGGAGGAGGGGAAGAAGGAGGAGGGGAAGAAGGAGGAGGGGAGGAAGGAGGAGGGGAGGAAGGAGGAGGGGGAGTGGTTTCTAATTTTAGATTCTCCCCTAAGATTGCCCTGCCTCCTTCTCATTTCCTCTCCTCCTCAAAACGTCCAATAATAATCTCAACTCCACCACAAAGCTCTTTTTAGCCCACAGTAATTCTCCCTTCTGGGAGCACAATTCAGTACTAATTTTATCCATTCATTATTAACCTGCCAAAATTTAATTCTCCTCTTAATAGAATCTCCTTTTACTTAAAGGAAGAATAACCATCCTCGTCGTTTACCCAAGCAAAATGATCACCACTCTGCATTCCACAAACGGGTTAATCTCAATATTAACCTGTTAAATTGCTCTCAAATACCCCCTTCTTTTCATTCCCATTTTCCAGAATATTCACTTAACTAGAGGTAAATTAATACAGATTTTCTTTATTCACTAAAATTACAGATAAGTCTCCATGGAGAACTTAATCATGATATTTGACATCACATGACTGTTGTAAAGATTAAATGCAATAATATGAGTAAAATTTGTAAACTATCTTTAAATGCAAACATATGACATAACATTGAGGTGTTTTCGTTATGGCTATACAAAATTTTCAGTAGCTTGATCAAAAACTTCTGATAAACAAGAGTTCAAGATGGCACAGGTTAACAGCAACTTGGCATTTGAAATTATTGAACATAGCATCAAGGTATCAAAACATGTAGGATTAGAGTGCCTTAAAGAAGTACTTCAACTTCTACTTCAATATAATGGGCTAGATTAGATCAGACCAACCTTCCCAACAGCGAGCTAAAATAACCAGGAAAATAAATCGTTAAAACAGCCTCTGCTTGAAGGTATTAGAGGACTATCAAGGTACAATGATTTGAAAGGTCATGACTGTGGAGAGAAGGGAGCCTGACATTTGACTTCTCTTTAACCCACTTGCTGACTCTATTGCAGACAGTGGAAAACTAAGTTGAACAGGTTTATTTCAGCTTCCGAGAGCAGGACAGGCAAAAATCAGAGTTCATAGCCTGCTAAGGGAAAAAGGTCCTGCAACCCCCACTTTCAGCTGTGATTCCAAAGTGCTAACCCAAAGAAGTAAGCATAAACCAGAAGCAGCCCTCACAAAGACTAAAGCCCATCTTCAGAACAGTTTAATCCCTGCACAGATCAAGGTGATCCATCCTTACCCTGTCCGCCCAGCCCCAGAAGAAAAGGAAATCCACATCACACACAGGTAAAATTGTCTCTATATTTTAATACACAATGCCCAGCATTCACGCTTATAAAAATAAGATGCTTATTTTATAAAATAAGAATTTTGCTTACAAAAATAAGAATTAACCAAAAAGCAAGAGAAAAGAAACAACAGAAACAGACCCATAGGGAAGTAAGATATTGTAGTTAACAGAAGGAGATTTAAGTATAAACTGTGATTTATATGTTTAATAAATCAGACAGCAAAACTAAAGGATTCCATGTAAAATGAATCAAAAGGAGCACTCTATAATTTGAAATATAACTACTGGTAGGAAAATATTCAAAAGATGGGTCCAGCAGCATATCGTATACAGCTAAAGAGATAAAAGAAAAATGAATAATATGTAAGAAAATATCCAGATTAAAGCATGGAGAGAAAAACAGAAAGTAACGTGGAACATAGTTTCATACACATTTAATTAGAATCCCAGAAAAGAGAAGAGAATTAGGTAAAAGCAATACTAAAGGGATAATAGGAGAGAATTTTCCAAAATAAATTTCTTCAAGCCGCAAGTAAAAGAAGTGCTACAAATATTGAGTAAGGTAAATAGAAGGAAATCTATACCTAGAACATTATAGTTCAAAGACAAATGAAATTTCAAAACTACTGGAAAAGAGAACATTTTTTAAAGCTGTCAGGGATGGCGGTGCTTATGGGAAGAGAGTTTTCAAATGGCAAATATAAGACTCTCAATGGAAACATGGTAGCCAGAAGGTTTGATATCAGAAATGATATCTTTAATGCACTGAAAGAAAATAATTTCCAAGAATTCTATGCCCAGTGAAAATACTTCTTAAAAATAAAGGCAAGATAGAGTCCTTTAAATAAAGTCAGAGGGATTGTATCACCAGAATACCTGAACTGAAGAAATTCAAAAACGACCTTTTAGGCAGAAGAAAAATAATCCCAGATGAAAGCTTGTTGTACCATTCTTCCCGCAATGAGTGTTTTTAATTAAGTAGATGTGACAAAGTCAAATTATAGATCTGAAGACTAAAGAATACCTTTAAGTTTCTACTTACTCTGTCCTGTTCAATATTTGCTTAAATAACTTGAATGGGCCGGGCGTGGTGGCTCATGCCTGTAATCCCAGCACTTTGGGAGGCTGAGGCAGGCAGATCACAAGGTCAGGAGATCTAGACTATCCTGGCTAACATGGTGAAACCTCGTCTCTACTAAAAATACAAAATGATATCTTTAATGCACTGTACAAAATAAGTGAAAAATAGCCAGGTGTGGTGGCTCACACCTGTAATCCCAGCACTTTGGGAGACTGAGCCGGGCAGATGATGAGGTCAAGAGATCGAGACCATCCTGGCCAACATGTTGAAACCCCGTCTCCACTAAAAATACAAAAATTAGGTGGGCGTGGTGGCATGCACCTGTAGTCCCAGCTACTTGGGAGGCTGAGGCAGGAGACTCGCTTGAACCCGGGAGGTGGAGGTTGCAGTGAGCTGAGATCACGCCACTGCATTCCAGCCTGGCGACAGAGCGAGACTCCATCTCAAAAAAAAAAAAACGTGAAAAATAAATGTTAAGGGAACTTAAAATGGGTCCTTTTATTTTTTTTTTTTATTCTTTTTGAGACAGCTAAATTGCTGGGCGTGGTGGCGGGTGCCTGTAGTCCCAGCTACTCGGGAGGCTGAGGCAGGAGAATGGCGTGAACCCAGGAGGCGGAGCTTGCAGTGAGCTGAGATCAGGCCACTGCACTCCAGTCTGGGTGACAGAGCGAGACTCCGTCTCAAAAAAAAACAAGTAAAATAAAAATAACTTGAATGGCATTTAATAGAAAATAAACACAGAAAATGTGGAAATGTTAATATGTTAACTAATATTTAAGATTCAAAAATATGCTCCAATATACCATAAAAACTAAATAACTCACTTTTATTGAAAAATTCTTTAGGATTTGAAGCTCCATATTTACCTACATGTTTCCTCAGAATACTCTGCATTCCAAACCATAAAATCTCTGTCCTTCCCTCAAGACACATTTTAGGCCAGGCGCAGTGGCTCACGCCTGTAATCCCAGCACTTTGGGAGGCCGAGGCAGGCGGATCACAAGGTCAGGAGATTGAGACCATCCTGATCAACATGGTGAAACGCTGTCTCTACTAAAAATACAAAAATTAGCTGGGCATGGTGGTGGGCGCATGTAATCCCAGCTACTCAGGAGGCTGAGGCAGAAGAATCGCTTGAACCCGGGAGGCAGAGGTTGTAGTGAGCCAAGATTACGCCACTGTACTCCAGCCTGGGCGACGGAGCAAGACTCCGTCTCAAAAAAAAAAAAAAAAAAAAAAAAAAAAGGACCCATTTTAAGTTCCCTTAACATATATTTTTCACTTATTTTGTACCTGTTTTTGTCTATGATAAACCAGGCACTGTGTTAATTTTTCGGGCAGGAAGATAGCTCACACCCATCATCTTCCCAGTACAAAAGCTGCCTGGCTATCTTTCTTGATTACACACAACTGAATGTATTCTAGTCCTCTCTGACTCCTAGAACGCCCATTATGGTCATTTATTTTGCTTGTTGGTTTTTTAATCTCATCTCTACACCACAACCTCCCTGAGACTCAGGCATTGATGATCTATCTACACCACTTAGCACCGTACTGTGCACGTCAGAACCACTGAATCAAATCTTGACAGAAGGGAACAATAAGCCCCAACTCACACAATGGGGTTTAATAGAGACAAATGGAAAATTCCTCATTCAAGTGTTTGAGAATGAGCCACATGGCTGGGGCACAGTGGCTCACACCTATAAACCTAGCACTTTGGGAGGCCAACATGGAAGGATTGCTGGAGCCCAGGAGTTCGAGGCCAGCCTAAGTAACATAGCAAGACTCCATCTCTACAAAAAATTAAAAAGTTAGCTGGGCATGTTGCCACATGCTGTAGTCCCAGCTACTCAAGAGGCTGAGCAGGGAGAACTGCTTGAGCCCAGGAGTTTTAGGTGGCAGTGAGATATGATCACACTACTACACTTCAGCCTGGGCAACAGAGTGAGACCCAGTATCAAAAAAAAATGAATGACATAAGCATCGGATGGGAAAGCTCTGGCTTGTGATAAAGAAAAAAAAAATACCTCAACATTTCAGCTAAAAAGCTCAATATATTTCATATATATATATATATATATATATATATATTTTTTTTTTTTTTTTTTTTTTTTTGAGACGGAGTCTCGCTCTGTCGCCCAGGCTGGAGTGCAGTGGCACGATCTCGGCGCCCTGCAACCTCCGCCTCCCAGGTTCAAGCAATTCTCCTGCCTCAGCCTCCCAAGTAGCTGGGATTACAGGCGCCTGCCACCACATCCGGCTAATTTTTTGTATTTTTAGTAGAGCGGGGTTTTATCATGTTGGCCAGGCTGGTCTCGAACTCCTGACCTCAGGTGATCCACCCATCTCGGCCTCTCAAAGTGCAGGGATTACAGGCGTGACCCACCGCACCTGGCCCTCAAATGTATTCTTTAGGTTCTTTAGGTTGAATCTCACTTCTAATGGCTTAGAACAGAATTAGCTCACATAAAGCCATTTTTTTATTCAAACACCCATAGAAACTAACTTTACCTATGCAGTTTGGACGTGGTCTCAAAAGACTTCTCAAAAGAGCACTGAAGGCAAAGCTACACCCGATGAGAAATGGTACTCAATAGAAAATCTCTTAGTCATTCGGCATCTGAGGTCTACATCATCCTATGCCTACTCTTCTTTCCTTTCATTCTGATTTTTGAAATAATGCTACTTTTGCCCAGGTTCCTGCCACTTCCCAACCAGTTCTAAATTTTCTTTGTTAAAATTAAACTTTGTGCTCTACTTTCTGGGTTATCTACTTAAACTTCGGGAGATAAAACTGTTTGAATAGCAAGTCCAGGTTTTACTACATGCTGTTTTTAGCAAGAAAAGAGATTCATTGCAATGGTCTGGACATTGGAGGTCTCACCTCCTTAGTCTCATTTTACTATGTTAAGTTTGTAATTCAAGCTTTAAAAAAAACATCAGACAACAACCACTCCATCTGACTTGGTTTTCTGGGACATGACTACTATAATATCACTTCTTTCTCTTGCCCTTTTATTCCTCCCCAAATGCTGTTCTCAGTGCTTCTCCCTTCAGATTTATGTTGTTGTTGTTGTTGTTTTTTTGAGATGGAGTCTTGCTCCGTCGCCCTGGCTGGAGTGCAGTGGCGCGATCTCTGCTCACTGCAAGCTCCGCCTCCCGGGTTCACGCCATTCTCCTGCCTCAGCCTCCCGAGTAGCTGAGACTACAGGCGCCCGCCACCACCCCGGCTAATTTTTTTATATTTTTAGTAGAGCGGGGTTTCACCGTTTTAACCAGGATGGTCTCGATCTCCTGACCTCATGACCCGCCCGCCTCATCCTCCCAAAGTGCTGGGATTATAGGTGTGAGCCACCGCGCCCAGCCTGTTGTTGTATTTTTAATGTAGGTGCATTCCTCCTCATAAATGAGAGTCACTGTAAGAGAACAGACAGAATCTGGGGTTTAAAGTTACACAGCCTTAGGTCTAATCCACATTACCACTGTTAGATGTCTATATGGTGTTAAGCACGTTGCCAAGATACTTAGCTTTCCTGGTCTCAGTTTCCTTATCTCTGAAGTGGGGCTAATAATATTAAATACTCAGGATTGTTTTCAGAATAGACCTAAATAATAAATTGAAATCTCTGTACATGGTATCTGATATGGTAGAAAAATAGGTACTTACATACATTTGTACATATATATATACATACATGTGTGTACCCTTCTATAGGCTCTTTCATTACCAAGAAGGAGTACCTCGGTATCAGTGCTTTCTAAGCAATTAAATTTACCTCTCTATATTAATTTCAAATTCCCTTTCTAAAAGCCAAGCCCTGCATTTGGCTTAAATATCTGAGTCACAGACCGGGTGAGGTGGCTCACGCCTGTAATCCCAGCACTTTGGGAGGCCGAGGTGGGTGGATCACCTGAGGTCAGGAGTTCGAGACCAGCCTGACCAACATGGTGAAACCCCGTCTCTACTAAAAATACAAAATTAGCTGGGTGTGGTGGTGCATGCCTGTAATCCCAGCTACTTGGGAGGCTGAGGCAGGAGAATTGCTTGAACCCAGGAGGCAGAGGTTGCAGTGACCTCATCTCTTTCCCCTTGACATTTCTTCTAGCAGTTTTGTACATGTCCTATGGCGGCTGTCCAGAGATCATTCTTGTTACCTTCCCACTCTTGCAGTTTTCTCACAGCCTCCCTTCCCCACGAAATATACACAAATGTGCGCTTATAACCTTGAGGATTAAAGTGACATTCCCTTCCAACATGCATGCTTCCTGTTTTTTCCTGAGATGCATCCCATCCATATCCATGACTCTGTCACTTTTATATACAAAGTCCTGGTCTATAAAATCATATCCTGTTCTTGGCATCATTTACAAAGGCAGTTGTTCCTTTTATACATCCTTTGTCCTCTATCAAAGTTACAATATTGACTCTCCTATCTTGTTTAAAAAGTGAGCTTGGGCAAGTGCAGTGGCTCACACCTAGAACCCCAGTGCTTTGGAAAGCTGAGGCAGGAAGATCACTTGAGCCTAGGAGCTCAAGACCAGCCTGGGCAAAATGAGACAGGCTCTATTTCTTAAAAAAAAAAAAAAAATTAATTAGCTGGGTATAGTGGCACGCACTTGTAATCCCAGCTACTTGGGAGGCTGAGGCAGGAAGACTGCTTGAGCCCAGGAGTTCAAGGCTGCAGTGAGCTGATCACACCACTGCATTCCAGCCTGGGGGACAGGGGAAAAAAAAAAAGCGACATTGCCAAGGATCAAGTACAGACAGCACAGGTACTGAGATGTTCTGTGCACCACCTATCACAGAGTGGGGACTTAGAACTGTGAACCATCAATCCTTATACATACACACATACCCCCAGTCTTGGTCATCACCATGGGAAGAGGCTTAATGGTGCCTAGAGTCAGAAAATCATAGAAGCCTTGAAATTATAGGACAAATGTGATCAAGTTGTAATCATGTATAAACTATTTATGGAGTTTAACAGCTAGCAAAACAATGCCACAACAACCAATTCAAAGAGTAGCAAGTCAAGATCTATTTTTAAATAATTCCCTCAAATTTCAGTGCTACAATTAAAACTACACAATAAGGGTTTTTGTTGTTTTTTTTTTTTTGGTCTGTTTGTTTGTTTACAGAGACAGGGTCTTTGTAGCCCAGGCTGAATGCCGTAGTACAATCAGCTTACTGTGGCCTCAAACTCTTGGGCTCAAGCGATCCTCCTGCGTTAGCCTCCTAAGTAGCCAGGGCTACAGACATGTGCCACCATGACTGGCTAATTTTTTAATTTTTTGTAGAGATGGGGCTCTCACTATATTGTCCATGCGGTCTGGAACTCCTGGCCTCAAGCGATCCTCCTGTGTTCGCCTCCTGAAGCACTGAGATTACAGCAAAAGCCACTGTAATCTGGACCTGATAAGTATTTTAAAATAGTATATTGAGGGAAATCTGGTGGTTTTCTTCTACCTATCCTGCTCACATGCTACGAGAAAATGGAGAAACTGGATTTTAAATAAGGAAAAATGTTATGGTTTGTTCTATTAATAGCATGAAATCCCAAACTTGTAAATACTATACGGCAGATACATTAGGGCGGAGTCATTTACAAGCAAAGTCCCACAGTCCATTTCAGTAGGAAATTATTTTATTATACCAAAAAGTCTCTCTCTCAAAAGTCCTCATTACTGTGGTAGCCCATTAGGGACGACCACATTCCTATAAGGCAAAAACAAGGTTTTTTCAACTAGAGAGCTTTTCTTTTTTACCGAGTGCTTACTCTCTGCTAGGTCATATTGTAAGTACTTTACATCCACGAATGCATTAAATCCTAACCACCACATGAGGTACATTATTATCCGCATGTAATGAATAAGGAAAGTGAGACACAGAGAAATTAACTAAAAGTGACTAAAGGACACCCAGCTAATAGGTGACAGAGCAGGCGTTCAGTCCCAAGTCTTACATTCTTATACTCAGCACCATTGTCTTATATGCAACCCCAAAGTTGCTTAGAAGCTGGTTAAGTCGTCAATGTCCCCTGCACAATACTGGGATGACAAGATCTCAGCCCCCAGGCTCCACACCAATGAGGCAGTGTTCCTGGTGAGGACAGAGAAAGGATTCAATGTTCCTCTGAAAAAATTCCCCCTTGTGTCTCTCTGCAACACAGCACACCCTCCACCCTTCAGGCTCCAGCCCTGCCTGGGGATGGATGAGGGGCTAGTGAGGTTTGCATTTCTCTCACACCACTTTCTTAAGCTCATGAGTGAGTCTGGAAGCAACTGGGGGCTACCTTATATGAGAATCCCTCTCCTCTATTCCTCAGAAAGTTTAAACTGTCCTTGTTTTTTTTTTTTTTTTTGGTTGTTGCTGTTTGTTTTTTGGTGGGTTTTTTGTTGTTGTTGCTGTTGTTGTTGTTTTGAGATGGAGTTTCACTCTTGTTTCCCAGGCTGGAGTGCAATGGCACGATCTCAGCTCACCGCAACCTCCACCTCCTGGGTTCAAGCGATTCTCCTGCCTCAGCCTCCCAAGTAGCTGGGATTACAGGCATGCACCACCACGCCTGGCTAACTTTGTATTTTTAGTAGTGATGGAGTTTCTCCATGTTGGTCAGGCTGGTCTCAAACTCCGGACCTCAGTTGATCCACCCACCTCGGCCTCCCAAGGTGCTGGAATTACAGGCGTGAGCCACCGCACCCAGCCAAAGCTTAAACTTTCTTAGAGGCTGGCAGAGAATCTTCTAGCTCATCCGCTTCCATTTCTGATGCAGTACACGTGCTGAATTTCACAATTCAGGCTCTAGGAAGTATCCCAATTCCTTGACTTGCATGAGAGTTACACATATGTTTGCTTTGTGATAATCCATCCAGTCGTACAATTATGTGCTGTGCGTTTTTCTATATGTATGTTATACTTGAATCACATTTTTAAAGTACATATATTTGAGCCCCAAAACCATATGCCAAAAAAAACTTTAAAAAACATTTTTAACACTTCATCTTTGACTTAAACTATCTGATACTGATAATATAATAACGAAGAGGCAGATCTTTGAAATGCCTCTTAATACTTAAAAATATTAGCTGAGCTAGTATATAAACAGAAGTTTAGATCTTCAAAGTTCCTTAAATGGCTTAATCTTCGGCCTCCCCTAATTCACATACACCAAGATCCAACATAATACTTGCTGTTCTCTGAACATACCATGTGTTTTCACACCTGGAACGCCCTTCGTCTAATTCATTCAACGAACGTTTATTTAGTCAAGAAACAAAGTCAAATAAAAAGAGACAGGCTCTGCCTAGTGGGAAAAACAGATATCATTCAAATAGTCATGCCAATAATGTAAAAGTGCAGCTGGGATAACTGCTCTAAAGATGAGATACTTGATGAGTGAACGTTTATAATAGAGTTGACTTAGAGAAGTCCGACCTCCCTGAAAGAGTTAACATGGGATGTAACTTCTAAGGGATTGAACCAGGTAAGAGAGATGAAAGAAGTTTTCCAGGCAGAGGGCCCTAGGTAAGAAGGAGCTGGTAAAAAAGAGGAACCAAAGGTGAATACGAATGTGCAAAGGCCCTGGGGTATGAAGATGCTGGTGAATGAGGAGCCACAAAGAGGCAACATCCTTCTCTCCTTTCAAAATCCTTCCTCTTCCTTCACATACTGCTCAAATGTAACTCCTCTGTGAGGCTGTTCTCTCTTCTCCATTCACACTGTAAATTGATATCCCTCCCACCATTATGGCATTTCTTCTATCCTTCTGTTAGCACTTAGCTCACTGTATTGCAATTATCTGTTTATACATCTGTCTCCCTCACTAGACTGAGAATCCATGGAGGACAAGAGCAATAAAGTATCATCTTTGTGTCTCTCTGCATCCAGGGATAAGCATATTTTAAATGCTCACTAAGTGTTATGAGTGAAACAGGACAACTTAACCATGCCACGCACACCCAGACATTAACATTTTACCTTGAAAATGTATTGCCTACTTGGTGAGTTGTCTAAGTTTCTTGCAAAGACTCAGCTGTAAAGTAGCAACTTTTTAAAAATCCTTTTTTTCCCAACCTTAATGAATCATAAGGTGTTATTTACTTCAGCATCAGAACCATCTGCCCAGACTTTGTTAGCACAACGTAATTCACTTTATAAATATCACACAATTATCTAATTTCTAAAAGTCTCTGCATGCTTTGAAAGGTGTTATTTTGGAAACAAGTCCTGTCTCATCCGAGGGAAATTCCCAAACCAGCATTGTAATTGCTAAGTATATCTACAGAAGCATTGAAAGGCCGGAGAGGAAGCATAAATCCCGTGCGCTGTCCTGGCTGTTTGGGGCTCTGACAGCTGGCATGGGCGGGGTCTCCACACCCCCCATCACAGCTGCAGTCACCTGGCTGCTTGCACTTACAGGTAATAATTCCAGAGCACAGCAAAGCCAGCACTCAGCTCCCCTTCATCAGGACAGCAGTCCCTCCACCCCAGCTGCTGCTGCCTGCCTGCCTGCCTTGGAAGGATTCGCCAGCAGAAGCAAGAAGGATTACGAATAGTGGCAGGCTTGTCTGCTGGCCTTTTTGCTGATCCCTCCAAATGGGAATAGCAGCCTCCAAGGTTTTCCTTACATGGTGTCGGTAACTCCATTGCAGATTCTCCTCCCACCTCCAAATCCAATCCCACCCTTTTAGGGAGAGGAAAAACAATGAAATCAAGATTAGGGTATTCCTGTTGCAACCCAATCCTCAGGCTCTCCAGCTATTTGATACAGGGTTGTCAGATAGGGCTCTGCCCTTCCAAGGTCTATCTGTACCTGACATCTTTATAGGATTACAGAGGAGGTTTAGCAGTGGTAGGGTGGTAATTTAAAACCGCACCTCCTGGAGCTGTTTATGAATACAAGCAGATGTGAGCTTATCATTCCCATGCTCACAGCACACTCCTGGAGCCCTTGAACTAAGACCATATCCCTGAGAACTGCACTCACTCACTGTACTGCACACTTCCTCCTTTGACTTGTCTCATCTACTAAGGGGCAGGATGTGGACTGCCTGGGAAAGGAGCCCTTTGCCAGCCCAGTCATATGGCTGCCCTTTGATCTCTTCCCACCAGACTGAGTTACTTTGTGGGCTGCTGTGTGTGTATGTGCGTGTGTGTGTGTTTAATCTGGCCTGTGTGGAAGTTTGTACTCTATCACAGATTTCCTGCCTTTCTTCATCTCTATTAATTATAAAATCTCTTGGGAAAAAGGGAAGGATTCTATGAAAGAAAGGAACAGAACCCATCATGGAAAGCTGGGCCAGGTTCTGAGGAAGGAGGGGTTGTGGGCTGCACCCCAGCTTCAGTGGTCTGTCTGGTTGACTGCCGACGGGGCTGCATTCGCTTTTCACAATTCCACAGAACTTACACTGTCTTGCTCTTAGAATGGAAGCTGCTTGTCTTACACAGTTGGGCTCTCTTCTCTTTCAGAAAGGACTGAGCTTAGGGATAGACTGTCAGCAGGTAAAGTCAGACTATGGTGGGCAAAGGCTTCCCCAACATCCCTTGTCTGAGCTTCTGTCCCAAGGTCCATCCTCAGAGGCCTGTACGCAGGCTTCCCATATACCTCCCTTTCTAAGGAAAAGGACATCCCTAGTGTCTTAGCCCATTCCTGCTGCTATCACAAAATAACTAGACTGAATACTTTATACATAATAGAAATTGGCCAGGCATGGTGGCTCATACCTGTAATCCCAGCACTTTGGAGGCCGAGGCAGAGCATTGTTTGGGCCCAGGAATTCAAGACAAACCCATGCAACACAGTGAGACCTGATGTCTATGAAAAAATTAAAAAGTTAGCCAGGTGTGGTGGCATGTGCCTGTGGCCCCAGCTACTCAGGAGACTGAGGTGGGAGGATCACTTTACCCCAGGAGGTCAAGGCCACAGTGAGCCACGATCACTGCACTCCAGCCTGAGTGACAGAATAAGACCCTGTCTCTAAATACAATAAAGTGAATAAAATTAATTAAATTAATAAGAAATTGATTTATCGCACTTCCTGAGGCTGGGAAGTCCAAGATCAAGGAGCCAACAGATTCAGCGTCAGGTCAGGGCTGGCTCTCCACTTCACAGATGGGCCTCCTTGTTGCGTTCTCACATGGCAGCATCTCACAAGATGCAAGGCAGCTCCCTTCAGCCTCTTTTGTAAGAGCATGAGGCCAAAACTCCTGTGACCTTATCATTTCCCCCAAAGGCCCCACCTCTTAATACCGTACTACCACATTGGGTATTAGGTTCCAACACATGACTTTTGGAGGGACACATTCAGGCAATAGCACCAAAAGGCAGAGCAGGATAAGGCGGTCTCCTCCTCCAGGAGTCCTTTCTGAAGGCCTTGTCCCTACTCTCCTCCTCCAAATAAGCGTCCCTCCACACCATGTGCTTGTGTTCCATGTACATGCTTTATTCGGGGCATTTATCACCTTTTTAGGAAAGTATCAGTCATTCCCAACAGCATGTAAGTCCCCAAAGGGCAGGAAATGAGCCCTGTTCACCTCCATTCCCCCGACCTTAGCGCAGTATCTAGCATATGGTCGATACATGTGGAGAAACAGAATTTCCAGTCATTTGGCTGCAAACATGAAGCCTCATGTCAAAAATGCCAATTTTTCAGTAGTTCATTTCAAATACCAAAGAGCTTATGTATTAAATCAACCAATGTTTATTTAGAAATTATTATGTGCTAGGACTGGTCATCATAGGTCCTTTGAACCCATAAAAGTAGCCCTGCTTGGTCCTAAAACCTATTTATCTCCCCCTTAATGTATTTGGTTGTTGTAAACATTTACTGAGTAGCTCTATTCCTCACCTTTAAACCCTTTAAAGTGAAACTGACCCATCCGTGCAAACCAATTCTGAGCCCCTGAGAAAATGCCAAAGGCCAAATGCCCCATGTTCCCTCCATGTTGTCCACTTGCCACCCTGACACTCGCTTGTTCTCAGCTTTTGTAGTTCTATGACATTGCACATAAGCTCATGTAAGCCTTGGCTGTGGCTCCCCGTGTGAATGGCCCCATCTCCACTCTCCTCCTCCACACCATGTTCTCATATTCCACGTGCATGTCTTATTGAGGGCATTTATCACTCTTTTAGGAAAAGAATCAGTCACTCCCAATAGCATGTAAGCCCCTAGAGGGCAGGAACCCGGCCTCATTAACCTTCATTTCCTCTGACCTTAGACTTTCTTTGACTGACCCCAGCTTTCTCTAAGTTCAAGTTCAGCACTCCTGCAGGCACAACCTACCAGCCCTAAACCTCTGTCCACTATAAACACAGAACAAAGGTGGAGGAAGGTTATAAATATGTCTCCAAGAGCTTACATGTCTCTGAAATGTTGTCACATCTCTCCTCACAGCTCAAGTGTAAAGAAAGCTAGGACCTCAGGCTCCACAGGATCATATTTAACAGAATAAAAAATGCCTTAGCAATAACTTAGAGTTCTCATCAGATCAGTTCACTTACGAATCCAGCCCACGGAAACTGAAACTCCTTCAAAAGAGTAAAATCTGTGAGGTATGTAGTTAGTATCCAATGCTGCTATCTCAATAGCATGGCATCAAAAAAGTTACACATTAACAAGGCTAATTTCTCAGAAGCATTTTGCAAAAAAAAGGCAAATAAGCTGTTTCCTGAAAAAAAAAAATACGTGTGTGTGTGTGTGTGTGTGTGTGTGTGTGTGTGTGTTATGGTTCCACACACCTTAAATTCTAGGGTTGGGGGCTTTGCTTATCCTATAATTGAGGTGTCAGCAAATGTTTCTGTTAAGGGCAGGATGGCAAATACTTTCAGTTTTGTGGGCCGTACAGTCTCTGTTTCAGCTGCTCAGTCACACACTTACAGCTCAAAAGCAGCCATAGACAGTACAGAAAAGGCTGGACCTGGCTGTGTTCCAACAAAACTTTATTTACAAAAACAGATGATATAAGCAGGAGTTGAATTCATCAACATTACCAATATTATTAAATTGTGGAAGGTCCAGGTTTCAATAATCCTGTCTTAAGCATAGTTTTGTCTGCTAGCACTGAAGTTGAGCTAAAAACAACTCAATTGCCATGGGCTAGTGTCTCAGCAAAGGAGCACATGTAACAATGATCTTTTGTGTCTTGAAGACCATGCCTCAGAACTGCTTGAAAAGTTTCCAGCATCAATAGAAGGAAATGCATGCTTTCTCTTTAAAGTGAGCTTGAGTCTTAGGAAACGGCATATGTATGTAAGCCAGTCAAACAGGCTGGAGATACCCAGGTGGTATAGACTCAAGTAAGGTAACTAGTTCAGTTAGAAATCAAAGCAATGATTCTAACCTGCATATAAACATCTAAGCTGATCTACCCAGTTCCACCATATTCAGTCACTCACTAGAACACCAAGCGAGATATGGAGATAAAAATATTTAACAACTGGCCGGGCACGGTGGCTCATGCCTTTAATCCCAGCACTTTGGGAGGCCGAGGCGGGGGCATCACAAGGTCAGGAGATCGAGACCATCCTGGCCAACATGGTGAAACCGTCTCTACTAAAAATACAAAACTTAGCCGGGCGTGGTAGCGGGCACCTGTAGTCCCAGCTACTCGGGAGGCTGAGGCAGAAGAATCGCTTAAACCTGGGAGGTGGAGGTTACAGTGAGCCAAGATCACGCCACTGCACTCCAGCCTGGGCAACAGAGCAAGACTCCGTCTCAAAAAAAAAAAAAAAAAATTTAACAACTAAAGTATATATCCGAAAAAGACTAGCACTGAACAAGATCTTAAGGGCCACCTGGGGGAAAAAACACTCTAATGTATCCAAAGAAATTGAGGTACAGAGGAATTGTCACTTGCCCAAGATCACAAAGCTAGGGCATAGAGGAGGCATGACCATATGACAGTAAACTATTAGTTCTAAGAAGTAGCAACCTTGCCTGCTAATGCATTGCTTTTCACATTGCATTCTCTGCCTCCACCACAGCTCCTGGAATATATCAAGGAATTAAGAAATATTGACTGAATAAACAAAGAATTAATGAAAAAAGCAAAAATGAGCCAGATCTCTTTCCCATCAAATATTGTGTGGACGAATACATTCACGGTTCAAAAAGAATATGCTATTTGTAATTTTCTTCTTGAGGTTGAATTGTGCATTTGATTCTTCAGACGCCACAATAAACTGCTGAACTAATGTGAGTGGCCTAAAGGAGGGGAAGTGCCACTCAAGGCAACTATGGTAATTCCGTCCTAAGGAATTATTTATGCATGATGAGAATCTGTCTGGAACATCAATGATGTCTTTATCTTCAACTACTACACACAGAGGACTCAGTCTGAGTGTGCTAATACTGTCTGCCCAGGTTTTCCCAGGACTTGCAAAATGTAAGCCTGATTGCTTAGAGAGGTTATGGCTTATTGCACATTATCTACACCCACTCATCCATCACTGTGAGACTTCGTGGTATACAAAGCAAGCTCCTCAAAGCAAGGGTTAGGATCTACTCTCTGATTATTCCTAGCTGTCGCCATATGTTGGCTTCCTGACAACAGACAGGACAGGTGCTGTCCCAGGAGACACTGCTGCAGAGAGAGGTTCCTACTTGACCACCATAACATCTGAAGTACCTAGCCCAGCTCCACAGTTGAAGGTCAAGTGGGAACAACCTGCATTCCTTCCACAGGTGTTGGCCTTTTAAAAGGAATGCAGACTTTGAGCTCCATTTATGTTTTCAAAATATTGCTTTTTCTTTGAACTAACATGGAATGTGTAACTTTATCCACAGACTGTGCAATTTTACAGCCACCCAATTTCTATGATATGACTCTTCAATATCTCAACTATTTTAAAAAATCCTTAGAGAATCCTACTATCAAGATCTAGAAAATAAAGTTTCTTCCTTTTTTCTTTGGAAAAGCTACATATAAATATGGGTGTGTGTGTGTGTGTGCCCCTTTATGCATATATGTATGTATTTTGTTGGTGTTTTTTGTTATTTGGGTCTTTTTTCTTAGGATGACAACCTTAATTAAAAGGGTCAGATTACTGAACAGCCACTTCTGACCCTCCTTTCTATGTCTGCAACACTGACTATTTAGCATAGGCCATTAAAGAACCAGAAATCATTCAGGGTAGGAAAAGGTCCTACTCCTTAATCACTTAGTCTTTAAAACAACACCAAATATGTTTGGATAATTTACAAAGATTCTACGAATTTTGCCAATGGCTGAAAAGCAATAAAAAAAAATTATGTTAATCAAATACATCAATTAAAACATTTAAAATATATGACCTCCAGAAATAAAGATTTTAGAGAACACCTCAGTTCTCTGGCTGTACTGATGTAACAGTCTTCTGGAACTATTAATAATACCTAACTCCCCCAAAATTTTGTAATACTGAAAAAAAACACAAACATAATAAACTTTTCATTTTATTTCACATATATATAATTTTCCAAGGTGAAATACACACACACATATACCTTTATAGAACTGAAATGCCAAATTCAAAACATCTACAAGATAAATTCAGACATCAGAAGGGGGTTTCCCACAATTACATTTGCAGTGCTATCAACAAAATCGGTTTATTTTAAGATTGCCTGCCCAATATATAAATTTCCCTTTGTGTTTGAAATACTTTTATCAGATAAGATAGCTTTTGTTTAAACTGCTATTTTCAGAATTTGCTTTGGGGGTTTTGAATGCACAGAGTGGAGTAACTTGAGATTTCCTATCCTGCTTTAAAATGTGTTTCTTCTGTCTGTTTGTATTTAGTAATTTCCTGTCAAATAACCTCACATAATTAACTTTCCTTGCTCCAACCTACTTCTTTTTTCCTATTCCTACTTCCTGAGGACAGTAATAAAATGCTGATTACATTCGGCTGTTATCTGCCTTTCCCTCCTTCTCCATCCCCCTTTCTCTCCCTTTGTGGAAGCCCCCACTCAGGTTTCAGCAGTTCATGGACAAAGAAAGACCTGGAACAGGAAGGGAAGCAAACCAGACTGCGGAAACTCTTGATCATCCATTCATCCATATTTACTGGGTAATGCTATTGCTGAGCCGGGCCCAGTAAGTAGTGGGAGATGTGCTCTGGTTTTTTTTTTTGTTGCTTTTTGTTTTTTTTTCTAAAATTCCACGAAATCCACAGACCAACTCCCCACTGCACTGTTCTGGTGCGTGTAGGAATGCCTCCCTTCTCCTTCCTGATCAAAGCTTGAGATGGCTGGGAAGAGAAGTCGTGCTAGGACAGGAAGAATGTCCACTAGCGTTTACAGAATTCCACTGACAGACAGAAATAGAAATTAAACCCTGCTATTTTTCATATAGCCTGCGTTACTTCTTGATAATTCATCTTTCTTTTCACACTAATTGTATACTTTGATCTAAATTAGGCAAGTAATTCACTAGCTGTATTACCTGGGCATTCCAAACACACACTTCCAAAGACATGGCATGGGGGAAAAAGCAAAAAATGTTGTGACTCTATTAAATATGAATTTATTTTGAGACAGGGTCTCACTCTGTTGCCCAGGCTGGAGTGCAATGGCATGGTCACAGCTCACTGCAGGCTTGACTTCCAGGGCTCAAGTGATCCTCCCACCTCAGCCTCCCGAGTAGCTGAGACTACAGGCACATGTCACCACGCCCAGCTGATTTCTTTTATCTTTTGTAGAAACAGTTTTATCATGTTGCTCAGGCCGGTCTCAAACTCCTGGGCTCAAGTAATCCTCCTGCCTCAGCCTCCTAAAGTGCTGGAATGACATGCATGCGCCACCACGCCTGGCCCAAATTTTAGTGTTAGAATCATACGTTCAGAACACAATGACTGATCATCTTCACATACATCAGGGTGCCCTAGCGCTATTGAAATGTTGGACCCAATAATTCTTTTTTGTGCAATGCTGTCCTATACATTGTAGGGTTTTGGTTGTGGTTTTACCCTAATACTATGAATATAGGACTCAATAATTCTTTGTTGTGGGGGGCTGCCCTGTTCAATGTCCTGTAGAATGTTTAGCTGTATCTATAGCCTCTACCCACTAGATGCTAGTTTTACCTTCACCTACCCCATTCATGACAACCAAAAATGTCTCTAGGCATTGACAAATGTCCCCTGGGTAAAAAAAAAAAATCACCCTCACTGAAAAGTGCTGATATACATTACACTCAGGGAAAAGAACCTGCTTCCTTACACACAAACCAAGTTGTAAAAAATCTAGCTACATCATCGTATGAAGAATTCAACCTTATAATTCCAGAAACGGCCTCTGTTCTGACCACTAAATATTTGAAGAAGTAAATGATGGTGACTTCATTTCATGAATATGCCTTGAGTTCACAAGTGGCAGACCCTGTTGTTCCAAACCTATTGCAAAGGGTAAAAGGGAAATCCCAAGGGACAAAAATTATAAACCTCATCATGGACCAGAAACAGACCACAAAGGCCAACTGGCAGGAGGAGCTAAGCCACAGGCTGCTGGAATCCAGAGCTATGAGCCAATGGTGCCTGGAGTTTGATACCTGATGGGCCCGTGGGTATAATTTACACCAAGCAGCTTCACTCCAGGGTGCATGCCTTAGAGAAACTCGTGAAGCACATCAGTTGGCATACACAAACAACAGTGTTCATAATGACACTGCTACTGATAGGAAAAATCTAAATGACCAAAAGTCTACTTATGGGAGAATGAGTAAATATATTGTAGTATATGCAAATGATGTAATATTATCCACAGCTGTAGTAGAAAAACTGCTGCTACCGGTAACACTAAGTCTTAGAAACATGATTCTGAATAAAGGGCAAGTCACAAGGTGACAGTATTTTTTATGAAGTTAAACATAAGCAAATCTTAAACCTATTACAGTTATTTTAAAAACCTACTGAAGCCGGGCGTGGTGGCTCACACCTGTAATCCCAGCACTTTGGGAGGCTGAGGCGGGTGGATCACAAGGTTAGGAGGTTGAGACCAGCCTGACCAACATGGTGAAACCCCGTCTCTACTAAAAAAAAAAATACGAAAATTAGCCAGGCACGGTGGCACGTGCCTGTAATCCCAGCTACTCAGGAGGCTGAGGCAGGAGAATTGCTTGAATCTGGGAGGCGGAGGTTGCAGTGAGCCGAGATTGTGCCACGGCACTCCAGCCTGGGTGACAGAGCAAGACTCTGTCTCAAAAAAAAAAAAAACCTATTGAAACCTATTTTTGAAAACCTAGTATGTATGTTTTTGAAGGCAAAAGAATGAGAAACACTATATTCAGACTAGTGGTTACCTCTGGGAAGGAAGTAGGAGGTTTTTATACATGTAGAGTGAACTCTATTGGAAATGTCTATGGTGAATTCACTTACTATTATGGTTCATAACATACCTACAGTTTGTAGGTGTATGTTCATGTGTGTGTATTTGTGCACCTTCATATGTATCAAATATTATATAACAATTTTATAATTTTTCTTCCAGGAAAAAGAAAAAAAGACCTAAGAAAAATGATGGTAAACTGAAAACAAAAGTAAATATTAAAGGATGTATTTCAATAAACTAAAAGGTGAAGCCAAAGAACAGTTATGGGATATAAGAAACCAGAAGCAAATAAATCAGTAAAATACCAGATGTCATTTGATTGATTTAAAAATTAATAACCAACTTTTTATGTTAAAAAGGGGAAAGTTGGCTGGGTACAGTGGCTTATGCCTGTAATCCCAGCACTTAGAGGCTGAGGTGGGCAGACTGCTTGAGCCCAGCATTTCGAGACCAGCCTGGCCAACATGGCGAAACTCTGTCTTTACATAAAATACAAAAATTAGCTGGGTGTGGAGGCATGCACCTGTAGTCCCAGCTACTTGAGGGGCTGAGGTGGGAGGATCACCTGAGCCCAGGAGGTCAAGGCTGAGTGAGCCATGATTGTGCCAGTGCATTCTAGCCTAGGTGACAGAGCAAGACCCTGTCTCAAAAAAAAAGGAGGTGGGTGGGCCATTAAAATTCCAGGCAACAAAAACAAGATGAGGAGGCTGTTTAATGGAGAGTTAAGGCATGCTAAAGTCCTTTTTATAATCAGGAAGACGCCGGGCACAGTGGCTCACACCTATAATCCCAGCACTTTGGGAGGCTGAGGCAGGTGGATCACAAGGTCAGGAGTTCAAGACCAGCCTGGCCAAGATGGTAAAACCCCATCTCTACTAAAAATACAAAAATTAGATGGGCATGGTGGCAGGCACCTGTAATCCCAGCTACTCAGGAGGCTGAGGCATGAGAATTGCTTGAACCCGGGAAGTGGAGGCTGCAGTGAGTGGAGATCGCACCATTGCATTCCAGCCTGGGTGACTAAGTGAGACTCTGTCTCCAAAAAAAAAAAAATTGGCCAGGTGCGTTGGCTCACACCTGTAATCCCAGCACTTTGGGAGGCCGAGGCGGGTGAATCACAAGGTCAGGAGGTCAAGACCAGCCTGGCCAACATGGTGAAAACCCATCTCTACTAAAAATACAAAAATTAGCTGGGCCTGGTGGCGGGCGCTACAGGCAGGAGAACTGCTTGAAGCTGGGAGGCAGAGGTTGCAGTGAGCCAAGATTGAGCCACTGCACTCCAGCCTGGGCGACAGAGTGAGACTGCGTCTCAACAACAACAACAAAAAATACTGCACTGGTAGAGCGGAAACAAAGCGGGGTGGGGAATAGAACTGGATTTGAATTCAAATTAACTCAAGGAATCTTTCAATCCCCACCACTGTTATTCACTGAGCAGAAACACAGCACTTGAGGACCCATGACTGAAGCATAGGCTACCTCAATCCGCAGACATCCTCATTAGCTATATTATTGTGTGGCACTGTTGAAAAGCAGCAAGAGTCCCACACCTGAAGCCAAAAACACAGGTGGAAGGGCCAGGCGCGGTGGCTCATGCCTGTAATCCCAGCACTTTGGGAGGCCGAGGCAGGCAGATCACCTGAGGTCAGGAGTTTGAGACCAGCCTGACCAACATGGAGAAATCTCATCTCTACTAAAAATACAAAATTAGCCAGGCGTGGTGGCGCATGCCTGTAATCCCAGCTACTCGGGAGGCTGAGGCAGGAGAATTGCTTGAACCCGAGAGGCGGAGGTTGTGGTGAGCCGAGATCATGCCATTGCACTCCAGCCTGGGCAACAAGAGCGAAACTCTGTCTCAAAAAAAAAAAAAAAAAAAAAAAATCCATGGGTGGAAGCCCTAGTCAGCACTGCATGGGTGGCAGAGCCCAGGCACTGCATGCACCTGGGCTCTGCACTTACTAGAATCTTAAATACATTACTTGACTTCTTTGTGCGTCAGTATCCCCATGGGTAATACAGACATAACAATAGTACCTTCCTCACAGGACTAATGTGAAGATTTAAAAATTTAATATGTGTAAAGTACTTAGAAAAGTTCTCAGAAACACTAAGACTCAATAAACTGTCGCTGTTATTATTACCAGCTTTCTAGTTGAATGCCTTTGGGCCCAAGTCCTTGAAATCCCTGAGTCTCTGCTTTCTTCTTTTTAAAACATAATATGCCTGTCTTCATAACATTTGCTGCATGGTTTGGAAGAAAATAAAAGGAAAAATGGCTGTGTAAATTGCTAGTGTTATACCAATAGTAGTTATAGAACTAAGTTCCACTGCATTTCAAAGAATCAAGAGCTCTTTTTTCTTGTATAGATTGATATTTGTTAACTCCCTGGGTTGTCAAGAACTTCGTACAGCAATTTTCTTTCACAATATTAGCCACTCTCGGTTCATCATAAGTAATTAAAGCCATTCTCTCCAGAAATCTAGCACATTAATCAGCTGGGTACAGCAGACGGATGTCCACCCATTAGAAATGACTAAACAATTTAGTTAACCTTTAGCAAAAATATGCATGCACACATGCTGACTAGCGCAGAGTTAAAAGATGTTAATGCTTCCTGTTGAAGCATTATGTGCAATGTTTATCCTTCTTTCTTTTTATTGTTCCTAATTATTTTTTAAATGCAGTAGACTCAAGACGGTTTTTTGATGAAGCGTTGTTTTCTGCAAGTTCATCTCAGGATATGAGAAGAAAGGAAACACTAATGCTTGCTGGTGAGAGAGGCCATCTGAAGGATTCCAAAAGCAAAATTAGATGATACAAATATAGCAAGGGAAAATGGATATTTTAAAGTCAATTTCCTAAAATAAACCCCCCTTAGCACTCAAAATCCACTCTCAAATCTGGCTCCAAATGATTTAAGAAGAGGTCAGTTACTTTGTGGATTAGTCAAATCTTCTGCTCCTTTTACTCACCAGCTCTTTTACTTTTGATGATTTTATTGATTGTGAACTCCCTGTGCCAAACAAACAGTAAAAAGAGGTAATGGGAAGACAAAAATCTACTAAATTAATCCATCTCTCTATTTTTGCACAGCTCTGATGAAAGTTTAGGAGGAGGAAGAAAGAACTAACAGCTAAAAAGAAGGCTTGAAATTATTTGTGAGTCAATATAAGCACAGTGAATAATGAAAAGAAAATCCCAGCATGCAAGCTTTTTGGAAATGCTGAGGAAGCCCATCATGTTAGTCTTTTTCGACATATGGAGACATAACTCACATGCCTAATTCATAAAACATCAGGTAGAAATGGTAACACTGCACAGTTTTGGTCTGAGAGGTACCTACCGGTGTTCCAACTAAAATCATGCAATAAATAAAAGGCTGTGAAGCCAAGCAGGGTGTGGAGCCCAGTCAGAGGGGAGCAGAGGTGATGGAGATACCCAGCCCATGGAGAAGCCACTCAGAAATAGGGATCTGTGCTCTACCCTAAGATGTTAAAAAGGAGCCCGCATACATGGGAACTTGACTTAAGATGAAGGCAGCCCTGCAGGGCATTTGGGAAAAGATGGTATTTTAAACAAATGGCTGACTTAATTTCCATAGTAATTTGGAAATAAAAGAAAAGTGGCCCTTTACCTCACAGCATAAATAAAAGTTAATTCTGGGTGGAATCTAGATCTACATGTGAAAGACAAAACAATAAAACTTCCAGAAAATAATGTAGGAGAATGTCTCCATAATTTGGTGATTAAAAAAAAAAAACAACTTCTTGATCAGAACACAAATGACATAAATCATAAATGAAAAGATGAATTTGACTAAATGAATATTAATATCTTCTATTCATAATAGCCACCATTATGAGAGCCAAAAGACAAAGCAGAGAGTGGGCAAAGATATTTGTAACTCACATAACCCTCAAAGGGCTCATTTCCAAAGTATACAAAGAACTCTTAGATGCCGACCGGGCGCTGTGGCTCACGCCTGTAATCCCAGCACTTTGGGATGCCAAGGCGGGCGGATCACGAGGTCAGGAGATCGAGACCATCCTGACTAACACGGTGAAAACCCGTCTCTACTAAAAATACAAAAAAATTAGCCGGGCGGGTGGCGGGCACCGTAGTCCCAGCTGCTAGGGAGGCTGAGGCAGAAGAATGGCATGAACCTGGGAGGCAGAGCTTGCAGTGAGCCGAGATCACGCCACTGCACTCCAGCCTGGGTGATAGAGCAAGACTCCGACTCAAAAAAAAAAAAAAAAGAACTCTTAGATGCCAAGAAGAAAAACATAATCCATTTAAAAATGGGTAAGAAACTTGAATAAGTCCTTCAAAAGGATATCCACCCTGATTTTATTATATGAATGTATCAAATTATCACATTTACCTTGAAAATATGTACATCTATTATCTGCCCATAAAAAATAAATAAATGTAAAAAAAGAGGATATCCAAATGTCTACTAAGCATAAGAAAAGGCTGTCAACTTCATTAGTCATTAGAAGGAAATGCAAATTAAAATTACGATAAGGCCAGACACAGTGGCTCATGACTATAACCCCAGCACTCTGAGAGGCCGAGGGAGTAGTAATGGTTGAGGCCAAGAGTTCAAGATCAGCCTAGGCAACATAGCAAGACCCCATCTTTCTACAAAAAATTTAAAAATTAGCCAGGCATGGTGGTGTGTGCCAGTAGTCCTAGCTACTCTGAAGGCTAAGGAGAGAGGATCACTTGAGGTTGAGGCTGCAGTGAGATATGATCACGCCCCTGCACTTCAGCCTGGGTCACAGAGAGAGACCCAATTTCATGCAATTTTAGTAGTAGTATAAAAACGTACAACTAGTTTCACGATCTGTTTGGTGATTCCTATTAAAACCGAATGCATGGGCAGGGTGTGGTGGCTCATGCCTGTAATCCCAGCACTTTGGGAGGCCAAAGCAGGTGGATCGCCTGAGGTCAGGAGTTCGAGACCAGACTGGCCAACATGGTGAAACCCCGTTTCTACTAAAAATACAATCATTAGCCAGGGGTGGTGGCGGGTGCCTGTAATCTCAGCTACTCAGGAGGCTGAGGCAGAAGAATCGCTTGAAACCAGGAGGCGGAGGTTGCAGTGAGCCGAGATTGTGCTATTGCACTCCAGCCTGGGCTATACGAGCAAAACTCAGTCTCAAAACAAACAAACAAACAAAAATGGTAGGGTGGATAAAGTATATTCATATAACAAAATAGTGATAGTAACATCTTTGAACCTTTCAAACATGATGTTGAGGGGAAAATAAACCGCCCAACTCAAAAACATATATGCAGTAATATTTCATTTATATAAAGTTATAAATTTGGCAAAACTAATCCAAGAGAAGGCATGACAATAGTTTCCGAGGTGCTGGCAATTAATCAAATGCTGCCTATGTGAAAGAATTTATAAATATTCATTGAGCTGAGCTTTATACGTATGATTTGTGTACTTTCCACATGTGTGTTATACTTTAATTTTAAAAAATTATTTGAAATATAAAGAAAAATAAATCCTTAATTTACTTAACCCAAAAAGGTCTGGTCCTAAAGCTTCAGCTTAAGGAAATGATCAAAAGCCTGAAAAATTTTAGGCACAATATGTCAGGCAGCATTATTTGTAATGGCAAATGAGGAGTGTTCAACGATAAGGAAATGTAAACTATGGCGGACCTAATTAGTAAAATATTACAAAATATTACCTAGCAATAAAAAGTATACTCATGGCCAGGTACAGTGGCTAACATCTGTAATCCTAGAACTTTGGGAGGCCCAGGCGGGTGGATCACCTGAGGTCATCAGGAGTTCGAGACCAGCCAGGCCAACATGGTGAAACTCCATCTCTACTAAAAATAGAAAAATTAGTCCAGCATGGTGGCAGGTGCCTGTAATCACAGCTACTCAGGAGGCTGAGGCAGGAAATTGCTACAACCTGGGAGGCGGAGGTTGCAGTGAGCCAAAATCACGCCATTGCACTGCAGACTGGGGAACAGAGCAAAAACTCCATCTCAAAAAAAAAAAGAAAAAGAGAAAGAAGTATACTCATGACCCAATGATCTATGCAAAAACACTCACAAAAGACAAAGAACAGGTGGGGGCACGGTGGCTCACGCCTGTAATCCCAGCACTTTGGTAGGCTGAGGCAGTGGATAACTTGAGTTCCAGACCAGCCTGGCCAATAAGTAAAACCTCGTCTCTAGTAAAAATACAAAAACTAGCCAGGCGTAGTGGTGGGCGCCGGTAATCCTGGCTACTTGGGAGGCTGAGGCAGGAGAATAACTTGAACCTGGAAGGTGGAGGTTGCAGTGAGCTGAGATCGCGCCATTGCACTCCAGCCTGGGCAACACAGCAAAACTCCATCCCCCCACACACAAAAAAAAGACAAGGAATGACTGAAAGTGAGCCAGTTGGAAATATGCCAAAATCATTCAGTACAGTATTCAAGTAACTGGGTTTTATGTAACTTTTTTTTTTTTTTTTTTTTTGCTTCTCTTAAAAAATTGTCTTCATGGCTGGACATGGTGGCTCACACCTATAATCCCAGCACTTTGGGAAGCCAAGGCGGGCGATCACCTGAGGTCGGGAGTTCAAGACCAGCCTGACCAACATGGAGAAACCCCATCTCTACTAAAAATACAAAATTAGCCGGGGGTGGTGGTGCATGCCTCTAATCCCAGCTACTCGGGAGGCTGAGACAGGAGAATTCCTTGAACCCAGGAGGCGGAGGTTGCAGTGAGCTGAGCTCGCACCATTGAACTCCAGCCTGGGCAACAAGAGTGAAACTCCATCTCAAAAAAAAATTTCATCATTTGTTAGACTAGAAAAAATAAGAAGTTATTATTATTACTTAATATTACAGAATGTTTTGATCTTTTTTTTTTCCACTACATCTGGGAGGGTGAGTCAGAAATTTCTCCTCTGTTTCACCAAGCACAGAATGCACCACACCACCACAAAACAGTTCTCTAAACAGTAAGTGTGAAATCACTTGGGCAACTTTTTTTTTACTTTTTCTGTTTTGAGACGGAGTCTCACTCTATCACCCAGGCTGGAGTGCAGTGGCATGATCTCAGCTCACTGCAACCTCTGCCTCCTGGGTTCAAGAGATTCTTCTGCCTCAGCCTCCAGAGTAGCTGGCACTACAGGCGTGTGCCATCACGCCCGGCTAATTTTTGTATTTTTAGTAGAGATGGGGTGTCATCATATTGGCCAGGCTGGTCTCGAACTCCTGACCTCGTGATCCGCCCGCCTCGGCCTCCCAAAGTGCTGGGATTACAGGCGTGAGCCACCGTTCCCGGCCTCACTTGGGCAACTATTAATTGACGTACCTGCATATACTTATGCCTCCAAAGCCCTCATCTTGTAAGAAATCTAATACTATTCTTTAAGTAGAAAAATGTAATATACTGATGACCTAGCTCAGGAATCCTACGGAATACAGTCTTAAGTTTCCTTGACTTTTGCCTCAGGGACTAATGAGAAGAAGGCCTCAGATTCTTTAATTGATGGCTCTGGAACTGACCAGTGATAAAGAAGATTGATCTTTCATTTGAAGGCATGCTTAGTGTTTGGGTTACAGTTATATGAAATAATTATGTAGAAGAAAACTGCACAAGCATAAGGCACTGTGCTACGCTTTGTGGGATTATAAAAGTATATGAGACCTATTCCTACCTTCAAGCAGCTTAGAGTCTTCACTATCAGACAGCACACAATATTATGTAAACCAAATACAAAGATGTCAATGAATACTTATGTTAATTAGAGCCATCCTTATTTTTCTCTAAGATCTAACACGATCACAGGGGTTCTAAGTCTGGAAACTATATTTCTCAGATTCCTTGGCCAGCAAGGTTCTAGGTTTAGGTTCTTTCAAAGGCACTTATACAAAACTGGAAGATGGCAGAATCCATTTGTCTTTGACTCTGGCAGCAATAGCAGCAGCAGATTTGTACAGAGTCTTGTAACACAAGCTCTAGGCGCTGGTCTCCTGTAGTGACTGAGTAGGCCGTGGTGGGGCGACGAAGACATACTCTGGCATTAGAAGTAATAGTTTCCTGCAGTTACTGGTCTAGGAAACACCGACACCTCCACCATTCATTTGCTGCTCTAGTCCTTTTAACAGTTACAACCTAATTCCCTGTATTGACTCCTACCCTGCTTGAAATATTAATAGATAAATAGGTTCAGTTTCTTCGAGTGACCCATGACTCAGTCAGGAAATGGCAGAATCTCTTCTTCTGGTCTCTTTTGGAAAAAGGCTAAATCCTAGTGTACAAAACATAGTCTTCTAACTCTACCACCAACTTTTTAAAGCTATTTTTTGACCATCATTATGAGCTTTCTCTCTTAATTGCCAAAAATATGGAGAATGATGATACAGGAAAATTAATGTTTTTATATCAAACATTTGACAAAGATTAATATTCTCTTGAATTAGATATGTTTATCCTTTAGAATAGTAATGACATATTAAGTAGAGGGATGCTCCTTGAGGACAATAATATAATCACTGGAGGCTTAGCCTGTTATTAATTAAGCTTATCAAAAGTATCATTATGTGTGTGCACGCAAATCTATACATACATATTGTATGCCTTCTTTTTCTTTTCTTTTTTTTTAAGACAAGGTCTCCCTCTTTCACCAAGGCTGCAATACAGTGGTGTAATCATGACCCACTGCATCTTCCCATCTTGGCCTCCAGAGTAGCTGGGACTGGGACTACAGGTGTGCACCACCACGCCAGGCTAAGTTTTGTATTTTTTTGTAGACACAGTATCTCACTATGTTGCCCAGGCTGGTCTCAAACTCCTGGACTCAAACAACCCTCCTGCTTTGGTCTCCCAAAGTGCTGGGATTACAGGCATCAGCCACCTTACCTGGCCTCATATGCCGTCTTAATTTTTTGTCTCCTTACCTAGATTCCCATCATAATTCCATATACATATAACCTAATTATATTACATGATAATTCAGACTACCTAAAGCCTCACAGGACTCATGTACAATGTAGAAGTGACTATAGTCCCCAGAATTTACATGCACGACTGCTTTAACGTGGAAAGGAACAGCGGCCACCTCCTATGTACAAAATCAATATGGATTAGGTCAGACTTCTGGTTCTGGGTGAAATGGCATAAAAACACTTCACTCATTTCTCCCACTGAACAGAAGCATACAACCTGAACAGATATAAAGCAACTACTGGAAAAAATTCTAGAAAGTGAATAGCATCAGGGAAATCATGGAAGACCACTGGAATCAAAGTTGCAATCAAACTACTAGTGGGTTTACCATTTATTTTCTCCTAGTAGCCTCAGGCCTGAACTTAATCAAGCTGGAAACCTAGAAATGAGCACTGCTGCAGTGAAGGAGAATGCTCCAGAAGCCCTCTAGTTATGGCTCATGGACAAACAAGAGGGCTCCTAACACTCATGGACGGTGTGAAATCCTTGACTTTGTTCTCTGTTGTTTCTGCTCTTTTGTGTCTGTCATTCATGAGGTTGCTTCCAGGCAATTCCAGGACAGTGAGGGCAATGACCAGTAAAGCGGTCAGCAAGAAGGAAAACTGAGGGAGGGGAACCTTTCTCTCCATTTAGTGGAGGTGTGATGAGGCCGACCTCTATTGCTTTTTTAACTCTCACCATCCTTCTCTTGCTTGGGCCCAGAGAAAGTCCCAAATAAGGAAGTTCACAGTAGCTCCTAAAAGACTGAAAGGGGGAGCCCTAAGGAGCTAAAAAGTTCCAAGGAGAATACAGAGGAGTAGTTCAGGAAAGTGACACCATAGAGTTGCTCATGAATTCCAGGGATCATCACCAACCCTTAAATGTTTGCATCAATTGTAATTAGCATACCAAAGGCTCAGAGAATGGAACTAACAGATAGACGCACTGCACAGGTCACAGACTGACCACAAGGTGGCACACTCACAGACTAGAACCGAAGAGTACTTCAAGGACTTTGAAAAGTAAACTGATACTCCCTTGAGTATCCAACCCCCTGAAGTTAGGTTGGAACTTGGAGCCTGAACCTAACCAGATCAATTGCCTGCTTAGAGAAAAAAAAAAAAAAAAATTTCCATGGGATTAAACACAACCCAGAGACTCATAACATAATCATCAAAATATCTAGGAGAGACTCCAAAATTACTCAACATACCAAGAACCATGAGAATTTCAACTCATACCAACAACCATGAAAATTTCAACTCACACAGAAAAAGATACACATATCAATGCAACATAATACAGATGCTGAAGTTATGTGAAAAAGACTTTAAGGCAGCTACTATATGATAGAGCACTTCTTTTATGTTTGAATGAGCAATCATAAACACTCTTGAAACAAATGTTAAAATAAAGTCTTAGCAATGAAATAGAAAATACAAAAAAGAAATGAATGGAAATCTTAGAACTGGAAATGAAAATCAAAATTTTAAATTCACTGGATGAACTCAAAAGCAGAGTGGAGATGACAGGGGAAAAGGTTATTGGACTTGAAGATAAATCAATAGACATTACCTACTCTGAATAACAGGAAGAAACAGGTTAAGAATTATATGAGCAGAACTTCAGAAATATATGACTGAATAACTGAAGGTCTAACATTCAGGTCCTTGAAGTCCCTAAAGGAGATGGGCAATAATGCGTGCTAGAATTATGTTTAAAGAAGTAAGAGGCCGGGTGCAGTAGCTCACACCTGCAATCCCAGCAGTCTGGGAAGCTGAGGCAGGTGAAGCACCTGAGGTCAGGAGTTCGAGACCAGTCTGGCCAATATGGTGAAACCCCATCTCTACTAAAAACACAAACATTAGCTGGGCATAGTGGCGCATGCCTGTAATCCCAGCTACTTCAGAGGCTGAGGCAGTAGAATCGCTTGAACCTGGGAGGCGGAGGTTGCAGTGAGCAGAGATCGCACCACTGCACTCCAGCCTGGGTGACAGAGCGAGACTCCATCTCAAAAAAAAAAAAAGAAAAACCCACAAAATTAGCTGGGTGTGGTGGCGCATGCCTGTAATCCCAGCTACTCGGGAGGCTGAGGCAGGAAAATTGCTTGAACCCGGGAGGCGGAGGTTGAAGTGGGTCGAGATTGCGCCACTGCACTCCAGCCTGGGTGACAGGGCAAAACTCTGTCTTAAAAAAAAAAAAAAAAAAAAAAAAGAAGTAGGAGTGGAAAATTTGCCAGGTATTGCGAAGATAAACCTACAGTTTCAAGAATCTATGCAAATCCTAAATAGCGTAAATTCAAACAAATTCATGCTAAGATAAACTGCTAAAAACTAAGGACATTCTGTTTTGGGTGATGAAAATATTCTAAAACCAGAGAATGCTGATAGTTACACAACATTGTGAATGTAATTAACACCACTGAATTACACATTGTAAAATGGTTAAAATGGTAAAATTACCACAATATTTTAAAAAACTCAAGACAGAAAATGATCTTCAAAGCAGAGTAGAATGACAGATACATTACATCAAAGTAACATTGATTAGAAAACAATGATTAGAATGATTATGGATCTTTAACATAAACTATCAAGACCAGAAGGAAGTAGCAAAAAACTTTTAAAGAACTGTCATCTTTTAAAGTAAATACTTGTCAATCTAAAATAATGAACTGTTGGCCAGGTGCGGTGGCTCACACCTGTAATCCCAGCACTCTGGGAGGCCGAAGTGGGCAGGAGATGGAGACCATCCTGGCTAACAAGGTGAAACTCCATCTCTACTAAAAATATTAAAAAATTAGCCGGGCGTGGTGGCAGGTGCCTGTAGTCCTAGCTACTCTGGAGGCTGAGGCAAGAGAATGGCCTGAACCCGGGAGACGGAGCTTGCAGTGAGCCAAGATCGCGCCACTGCACTCCAGCCTGGGAGAGAGAGCAAGATTCCGTCTCAAAATAATAATAATAATAATAATAATAATAATAAAATAAAGTAATGAACTGTCATCCTAGATTTTGTATCCAGTGAAAGCATCTATCAGGAATAATGATAAAATAAAGGCATTTGTGGATTAAGGGAAACTTTCACACTGTATAGTCAGCAAACTTGCTCTAAAAGAATTACTAAAGGAAGTTCTTCAGACAGAAGGAAAATGACAATAGAAGGAAACATGAGTAACAGGAACAAAGGAAGAGTGACAGAAATGATGAGTATCTGAATAAAATATATTACTCTTCAACTCTTTACATTGTGTTTGATAGTCAAAAGCAAAAAGTACCTAATGAGATTTTCAATGTATGCAGATGTTACACATAGACAATAAAGATGTAAAAGAGGGAGTGGAAAGGAACTTATAAGATGGTAAGTGTATTACATCCCCAAGAAAGTAATAAAATACTAACTATAAGTAGATGTTAAACAGTTAAATATGTATTTTGTAATCCATGGAGCAACCACTAAAAAAGCTATACAAAGAGATATCGTCAAAATCATAATAAATTAACAGGCCATACTAAAAATGCTCAAATATAAAAAAAAGTCAGAAGTAAAAAAAGAAAACAACAATAAAAAAGAGAAACAAGCCAGATGTGGTGGCTCACGTCTATAATCCCAATACTTTGGGAGGCCGCTTGAGCCCAGGAGCTTGAGACCAGCCAGGGCAAATAGGGAGACTCCATCTCTACAAAAGATTAAAAGTTAGCCAAGTATGGTGGTACACGCCTGTAGTTCCAGCTACTCGGGAGGTTGAGGTAGAAGGATTGCTTGAGCCCAGGAGGTCAAGGCTGCAGTAAGCCCTGATCATGCTACCGCACTGTCAGCCTGGGTGACAAGGCGACATGCTATCTCAAAAAAAAAAAAAAAAAAAAAAAGAGAAACAAACAAGAAATAATGAAATGGTAGATCTAAATCCAAATGTATCAATAATTACAATAAATGCACATGGTCTAAAACACAATTAAAAGTCAGAGATTGTCATATTGGACTAAAAACTATGACTCAATATAGTCTATTTATAAGAAATTGACTTCAAATATATTTATATAGGTAGGTTAAAAGTAAACTACAAAAAGTATAAGGCAAACAAAAATTAGAAATCTAGAAAAGCAAACGATATCAGAAAAAAGGCAAAAGACATGAACAGACATTTCACCAAAGAGGATACGCAGATGGCAAATAAGTACATGCAAAATTTTTTTTTTTTTTTTTTTTTTTTTGAGATGGAGTCAAGCACTGTTGCCCGGGCTGGAGTGCAATGGCATGATCTTGGCTCACTGCAACCTCTGCCTCCCAGGTTCAAGCAATTCTCCTGCCTCAGCCTCCCAAGTAGCTGGGATTACAGGTGCCTACCACCACGCCCAGCTAATTTTTTGTATTTTTAGTAGACACGGGGTTTCACTATGTTGGCCAGGCTGGTCTCGAACTCCTGACTTTGTGATCTGCCTGCCTCAGCCTCCCAAAGTGCTGGGATTACAGATGCGAGCCACCCGGCCAGCAAAAATGTTCAACATCATTAGCCATCAAAGAAATGCAAATTACACCACAATGAGATGTTACAACATACCTATCAGGATGGTTAACACATAAGAGTGACAAAACCTAATTCCGGTAAAAGTGCAGAAAAACTGTATTGCTTGTACACTGCTGGTGGAATATAAAATGATATAGCCACTCTGGAAAACATTTAGGAAGTTCCCTTTAAAGCTAAACATTGGGATACTACTCAGCAATAAAACTGATATACACAACAAGTTGGATCAATCACTATGGAATTATACTGAGTGAAAAAAGGCCAATCCCAACAAGTTACATGCTGTGTGACTCCATTTATATAACATTCTTGAAATGGCAAAATTACACAATTGAAGAACAGATTAGTGGTTGCTAGAGGGCAGGGACTGGAGGCAGGGGAATGACTGTGGTTATAAAAGGGCAACATGAGAAATGCCTGTGGTAATAGAATTGTGCTGTATTTTGACCTTGGTTTTAGATACACAAAACTACATGTGTGATAAAATCACATTTAAATACATACACACACACAGTGTATGTAAAACTGAGGAAATCTGAATAATATCCATGAGTTATATCAATGTTAATTTCCTGGTTGTGATATTATACTCTATTGTGTAAGATGTTACCATCAGGGGAAATTAGGTAAAAAGTTCACAGAATCTCGGCCGGCCATGATGGTTCACGCCTGTAATCCCTGCACTTTGGGAGGCCAAGGTGGGTGGGTCACCTGAGGTCAGGAGTTCAAGACCAGCCTGGCCAACATGGCGAAACTCCATCTCTACTAAAAATACAAAAAGATTAGCCAGGCATGGTGGTGGGCGCCTGTAATTCCAGCTACTCAGGAGGCTGTGGCAAGAGAATAGCTTGAACCAAGGAGGTGGAGGTTGCAGTGAGCTGAGATTCAAGCCACTGCACTCCAGCCTGGGCAACACAGCAGGACTCTGTCTCAAAATAAACAAAAAACAAAGAGATACAACATGATAATAAAATAACTGATTCACCAAGAAGATACAACAATTATATATGTATATGCACCTAACAACAGAGCTTAAAATACGTCAAATAAAACTGATTAAAAAAATTTTTTTAAGAATAGATAAATCTGACTGGGAGTGATGCTTCACATCTATACTCCCCGCACTTTGGGAGGCCAAAACAGGTGGATCACCTGAGGTCAGGAGTTTGAGACAAACCTGGCCAACATGGTGAATCCCCATCTCTACTAAAATACAAAAAAATTAGCCGAGCGTGGTGGCACGTGTCTGTAATCCCAGCTACTTGAGAGTCTGAGGCACAAGAATCACCTGAACCTGGGAGGCAGCGGTTGCAGTGAGCCGAGATCATACCACTGCACTCCAGCCAGGGTGACACAGTGAGACTCCGTCTCAAAAAAAAAAAGAAAAGAAAAGAATAGATAAATCTGCAGTTATAATTGTAGGCTTCAAGACTCTATTCTCAGTAAGAGATAGAACTAGTTGACAGAAGACCAACAAGGATAGCCAAGCACTGAATGTCATGTTAACCAATTGAATCTAGTTGAACATTCCACCCAACACCACCAGCAAAATACATATTCTTTTCCAGAGTAAATGGAACATACACCAAGAGAAATCATAGGTTGAGTCATTTGAGAAAAAAAAATAAACACCTCAACTAATTTTAAAAGATTGTGATCATACAATGCATGTTCTCAGGTTATAATTCAATTAAATTAGAAGTCAATAATAGGAAAGTCTCCAAATATTTAGAAATTGAAAATCAATAGGTAAACTTCTAAAGTAGTTTCATTTATATGTATTATATTTGAAACTGTGAAAATTATATGTAATTAAGTCCATTGTGTATTAAAAATCAGGAGAGAATTAAGTCTATGGAACTACTGAAGTCATTTGGAAATCAGAAGCTAGGCTGAGTTTGTGCCCGCTGTGGTGCTGCCAATATTGGTGTGGAGCATTAAGGAACCCTTTGAGCCATATTCTACAACTGTAATCTCATACTAAATAAATGACTATTCCTTAACTAGTTGCTTATAAGTCACTTAAAACTACAATTTTTAATAGGGTCCCTTTCCCCTGTTTTTCTGTTAATCATCTTGCAATTTGTTAATAACAATGATATGGTTTGGCTCTGTGTCCCCACCCAAATCTCATCTCAAACTGTAATCCCACCCACCCAATGTCGAGGGAGGGGCGTGGGGGGAGGTGATTGGATCACGGGGGTAGGGGGACAGTTTCCCCCACGCTGTTCTCGTGATAGTGAGTTCTCACAAAAGCTGATGGCTTTAAAGTGTGGCACTTCCTCATACACTCACACACTCTCTCTCACTCTCTCTATGTATATATATGTATACGTGTGTATACGTGTACATGTATATGTATACATATATAGGTGTGTTATAGATATATCTCTCTCCTGCTACCATGTAACTTGTATCTTGCTTCCCCTTCTCCTTCCGCCATGACTGCATTTCCTGAGGCCTCCCCAGCCATGCAGAACTGTGAGTCAATTAAATGTCTTCTCTTTATAAATTACCCAGTCTCAGGTAGTATCTTTACAGCAGTGTAAAAATGAACTAATACAAACAGCAATATTCATTTAAGAATTCAACGCTATAAAACCTAATTAACTCAATGCTGAGATTTGAAAAGCCTTGATCTAATCTAGTTTGTCTAGCTTCCTCCTACCCTTAGATAAGTTTAGACATTCTATGATTAAAAGGCTCTCCATTTCTGAGATATGAACAACTTTTAGACACTTGAGACATACAGGTGACTTTCTAATCTCAAGAAATATAAGAGTTGACTTAATAAGGGCATAGGTCAGGGTAGAGATATCCTTTTAAATGTGTCCAATGAAAGAGGGGTTGGTTATGGTTTATTTTAATGTTTTAAGTGTGTATTGTATCAGTGTTTCCAAATTTTCTAATTTAAAATTCCACTCTCATCTCCAACAGGTAGCAATGTAGTTATTTTAAAGGTAAAAGGAAAATATGCTAAAAACTAAATTGTGGGAGCATTATTGATATACATAAGGTATGCATTGTCACCATGATCTGCATTAAAAAAAAAAAAGAAGGGTGTAACACCCATAGCCTCTATCCTCAACTGACATTCATTCAACAAATATTGACTGTCTATCAGGTGCCAGACATTACACGGTCATTGCTCTTGAGAAATACCCAGTTCAGTGGGGAAGACAGCCATATAAACAACAATTACAATCTAATATGATATTTTATAACAAAGGGTCCACAGACAGAAGTATATTGACAAATGCTTCACAAAGAAGACTTTGAGCTAGGCTTCTGAGTGAGCAGGACAGTGTCCGGGAGGGAGTGTGACAAGAGGAGGAGCCAAGAGAAGGATGAATCCATTCATACGGAATCAAACAGCATGATTTCTTAACACTTGAACTAGGGCACCTTAAACAGAATGAGGAGAGGTAAAATGGGAGAAGGACTTAGAAAAGACAGTTTAGGAAGGGTCTTAAGATACCCTGGAGGATTTGAGGCAGGGGAAAGATGTAATCAGAAATTTCCTCAAAAATCCTGCCTAGGCTGGTCACAGTGGCTCATGCCTGTAATCTCAGCACCTTGGGAGGTCGAGGCAGGTGGATCACTTCAGGTCAGGGGTTCAAGACCAGCCTGGCCAACATGGTGAAACCCCATCTTTACTAAAAATACAAAAATTAGCCAGGCATGATGGCATGTGCCTGTAATCCCAGCTACTCGGGAAGCTGAGGCACAAGAACAGCTTGAATCTGGGAGGCAGATGTTGCAGTTAGCCGAAATCGCACCACTGCACTCCAGCCTGGGTGACAGAGCAAGATTCTGTCTCAAAAAAAAAAAAAAAAAAAAAAAAAATCTTGCCTATTGGCAGCATCCGTTGCAGTTCTCTAGCAAGTAATAAAAAGGGACTGAACTTTAAAACAATAGCCACAGAAATAGGAAGGGCAAATTCTAGGGATATTTAGATACAATAAAAAAGACTCTGTGATCCAATTAGCTGTGAGGAAGAGTCAAGGGTGGATCCCATCCTCCCACTTAGACAGCAGTTTAAAGGTAGAGAAGACAAGATTAAAAAGTTGAGTAAAAATAACAGATTCTCTCTGAACACATTCATGTTTAATGTGATATACCTCCTAGGCAGCTAGATGGAGACTTAAAGCAGTATTAAATTTTGGAAACAGCAACATGGATTTTAGGAGACCAAAGAGACTGAAGGTAAAGGTATAGGAATCAGTGATTTATAAGAGTTGTTGAAGTTCCTGGGGATAAAAGAAATCAAACATAGAAAACATATTCTTACCATTCTTGTCATCTTATAAGAAATGCTTCACTGGCAAGGAGCACTGATTGGAAATTGACTTAAAGTTTAACTATGCATAGCTTCCCTTATTTCAGAAAGTTTGTCCACAACTGTTCTAAAGCGATCATCATGAAAGCCATGCAATGGCTCTCATGCAATGCTCTGCCATCAACGTTTAACTTCACTTCTGGAAGGGAGGATGAGAAACAGGCCTGCCTCCTGCCCGCTCCGGCCTGAAAAGGATTCCAACAACTGATGAAACAGAGCCCAAAGATAGCAGGCTCTTCTCAGGTGAAGTTCTCATCAAAACCACATGCAATTCTCTCCTGTTTCCTACTCACATCCTCTTCCTTCCCCTATGTTTTTCTGTGAATATATCTGCATGCCACAAATAGGCTACCAAGTCTTCTTAGAGTGGGTGGTGCAAAGGTAAAATACAGTACATTAGTTAAAAAGTAAATATGGCAAGGACAAATTCTATTGCTTTTTGATATCTGTGAGAAGGCAACAGAAGAGTTAGAACTAACAAAGACGGCAGGAATTACAAGATCCAAGCAAATAGTTTCCTTGCTTTGGATTAGAGTTGGACACCCAAGTGTGTAAAACTCCTGGCAGGAGGATTGAGGTGAAGAGCGGGAAAGTACAGGAGGATTCCGCCAAATTTTAGCTGCTCAGCAGACAAAATAAGGTATGACAGGCACCTAGCCAGGGCTCTAGAAAAATATTTGACCACTGCCAGAATCCAGAAAAACCAATGCTACCAAGCATCTAAAATGAAAAGTACGAGGCCGGGCGCGGTGGCTCATGCCTGTAATTCCAGCACTTTGGGAGGCCGAGGCGGGTGCATCACCTGAGGTCAGGAGTTCGAGACCAGCCTGGCCAACATGGCGAAACCCTGTCTCTGCTAAAAATACAAAAATTAGCCAGGCATGGTGGCAAGTGCTTCTAATTCCAGCTACTCAAGAGGCTGAGGCAGGGAGAATTGCTTGAACTCAGGAGATGGAGGTTGCAGTGACCTGAGATCACACCACTGCACTCCAGCCTGGGCAACAGAGTAAGGCTCTTTCTCAAAAAAAAAAAAAAGTAAAGTACCGAGTCAGACAGACCACTTGAGGTCAGGAGTTCAAGACCAGCCTGGCCAACATGGGGAAATCCCATCTCTACTAAAAGTACAACAATTACCCAGGCGTGGTGGTGGGCACCTGTAATCCCAGCTACTTGGGAGTCTGAGGCAGGAGAATCACTTGAACCCAGGAGGCAGAGGTTGCAGTGAGCTAAGATCGCACCACTGCACTCCAGCCTGGGCAACAGAGCAAGACTCCATCTCAATCAATCAATCAATAAAATGAAAAGTAGTAGCCCTCTTAGCAGAAACCTCTCATAGCAGAGGGTTGTAAAAGATACTGAGGAGCCAGGAAATGGGGGAAAAAAGCAGAGTCTGAGAGCCCCAAATAGCTGAGGCTGACCTGAGCAATTTGACTTCATTTCTGCATTAAGCAAAGAGCTCCCGCACTATACCACTGGCGTGTCAGGACTGATGTGCACGGATGGAAAATGACACCTGGAGAGTTGCTCACTTCACCTAACATACAATTCTAAATAAAATGTTTCACTCTTCTGTGAGGTCTTTGATTATCACTAGCGAAATCTCTACAAATACAGAAACATGAACTGCTGCTGTCTGGTTAGGCCTGTCTTTCAGGGGTTGAAAAGTTGCTCTGGAAGCCGGGGGTTTCCTGACTTGCCCTAAAGGTTTCTCAGACTGCTCTATAATAATGATGATTGAAAAGCATATTATGTCAACAGATACTTCTTTGGAAGGAGGAAAACAGGAGGACAATACCTCACTCATCAGAAAGAGCCAGACATACCTATAGGGTATGCAAAGCAAGCCAAAACTCCTTTGTGTGGTTTTGGGGGGGGCGGATTTTTTGAGACAGGGTCTTGCTCTGTGGCCCACGCTGGACTGCAGTGGCATAATCACGGCTCACAGCAGGCTCAAGAGATCCTTCCACCTCAGCCTCCTAGTAGCTGAGACTATAGGTATGTGCCACCACATCTGGCTATTTTTATTATTTTTTATTTTTGTAGAGGCAGGGTTTGACCATATTGCCCAGGCTGGTCTCAAACTCCTGGGCTCAAGCAATTTTCCAGAGGTGGCCTCCCAAAGTGCTAGGATTACAGGCATGAGCCACTGTGCACCCATCCTATATTATGTTTTGAAAAGGAAAAATAATTAAGTGTACATCTACTGAGAAAAGAAAAAAAAAATGTGCCAGCAACACCCAAGATGATGTCATATCAGCAGCTAGTTTCAGGTCAAATACAGTACAACAGGAAGCTTGGGACTGAAGACAAGCAGGACCCAGCCCACTGGACCCGCCCCTAAACCAATCGCCAGACTTGCTCCCAACCTACAGAAAGAACACTTTCCACTATGGATAGTGAGATAGTAATTTGTATATCCAATTCTGCTATTTCAAAAGCTAGGCTGTGTATATACACGGAAATATCTGGTCTGTCAAGTATTCTATAGCTGAGAGGGTCCCACAGCACTTTCAAAATAAAAAAAGTTAAATTCTTTTTAGCCACTCCATTTCTATCACTGCAGTCTCCAACCGTGCCAGGCTGTGAAAATTAAGGCCAGTAATGACTTCACTCTGCTAGAACATTGACTTGTAATCAAGGCAAGGATAATCAACTGCAAACAGAAGAAATCCATTAGAATCTAACATTGAAAAATTGGGGAATTGGGAGTGTTTGCTTTTAATGCTTACTCTTAGCCAAACCAATTAACACTTAGGTCTATCCACAAAGCTCTTGTGTAAGTTGTTGGGTGGAGGGAGGAAAATCACCATCACCATCATCACTATCACCATTCATCATCACCACCACCACCACACCATCATCACCACTGCCAACACCTCCATCACCGTCACCCTCACCATCACCATCACCATCATCACTATCACCATTCATCATCACCACCACCACCACGCCATCATCACCACTGCCATCACCTCCATCACCGCCACCCTCACCATCACCATCACCATCATCACTATCACCATTCATCATCACCACCACCACCACGCCATCATCACCACTGCCATCACCTCCATCACCGCCACCCTCACCCTCACCATCACCATCATCACTATCACCATTCATCATCACCACCACCACCATGCCATCATCACCACTGCCATCACCTCCATCACCGCCACCCTCACCATCACCATCATCATCACCACCACCACAACACCATCACAATAAAAAGTATGCATTTCTGCCCTCCAAAAGGCCACAGAAGCTTCCTTTCTTAGGAAATTGTACTGATATATTTGCTGTTTTTCCTTTGCCCTCCTAAAGCTATCACCACATAATAAGCATCCTTTCAATCAAAGAAGAATAGGAAGAGGTCAAGATTGTTCAAGGATTCCTAGGGCCCTGGTGATAGAAGACAGAGTGAATTTATGGCCCAAATCAAGTGTTTTTATCTTTCCATAAGAGAAAGATACTTGTGACAAGTAGAGTGAGATACTAGAAAGAATGCAGCCTCTCTAACTCGTTATCATTTGTAAATTCCCTGCCTGATTTGATAACAAATATCACTTTTCCTTCAGTGCCATTGGAAAAAAAAAATCACAGTGATAACAAAGGTGCCATTATTTCTGATCGCATTTTCCTGTTAATAATCACAGTTACAGTCAACTAACACCCTGGGTTCTCACATCATTAAATAAATATTACCTGGTGGCAAATATTAGTATCCCCAATTTTGCATTCCAAAGATGTCAAGAAACCTATCGGAAAGGTCAAATCTCAGTAAACAAGGCCAAAGCCAAAAAAAAAACACAAAAATCCCCTATTTCCATTATTTCCTAGTTTCAACATAAATGTCTGTGTCTCTGGCTCTCAATGGAATTTTCTACCAGACACATCAGTGGCCATAGTGGTCATTATAATCCTATCCTACTTGACATAATAAATTTGATTAGTAGAAGTTCATAAAAACAGAATCCTGGAAGGGATTCCTGGATCAGAGACTCTTAACCCAAGATTTATTAATTATAGGAGGGCATGCACATCTTTAAGTTACAGTTTCAAAATTTGTGCAAATACACAGTTTACTCTGGAAAAATCCCAGAGGTTTCCTAAATTCTCTGGGACTCATGTTCTCTCCATTTAAGAATCACTGATAGCAAATTAGTCACTCTCAATTCTTACTGTACATCAGAAGAGTCTCTGAGGAACTTTGATTAAAAAACACACTTCCCAGCCAGGCACAGTGGCTCACACCTGTAATCCCAGCACTTCAGGAGGCCAAGGCAGGCAGATCACTAGGTCATGAGTTCAAGGCCAGCCTGGCCAATATGGTGAAACCCTGTCTCTACCAAAAATACAACAATTAGCCAGGCGTGGTGGCGGGCACCTGTAGTCCCAGCTACTCGGGAGGCTGAGGCAGGAGAATCGCTTGAACCTGCAAGGCGGAGGTTGCAGTGAGCCCAGATCGTGCCACTGCACTCCAGCCTGGGTCACAGAGAGAGACTCCATCTCAAAAAAAAAAAAAAAAAAAAAACACTTCCCAAGGCCAAGCCCTAGACAAACTAAATCACAATGTTAGTAGACAGAACTCAAGCACATGAATTTTTTTAAATAACTTTTTTTAAAAGGCTTTCAATTATGGCTTTCAATGTAAAAGGCTTTCAATGTATGATGATTATACATACACAAGGTTAAAAACACTGTGTAGCTTCAATTGATTAGTCTTTTTATTTTATATAATCACTGAACTTTATCATTGGAAGAAATCCTAGATATTGGAAAACTAGCACACTTCTTTTACAAAAAAGAACCAAATGTGTTAATTAACTTGCCCAGGATCATACAGCTAGTTAGAAACAGAACCAAAATATTCTGCTTTAAACATATTTTTTAAAACTACATTCAAATTTTTATTTTTTAAAAATCATAAAATAGGGTTTACCAGCCTCTCTACTAAGTCCCCTAAAACTACCTCCTGAATTTCTTCTTGAAAAGAGAAAGTTCACCATCTTTTGTAGTTTATATGCAAAAAGTAACCTACATCTGCATAAAATTATTGTAAATATCACAGATGAACCATATTTAGAGGGATAAACCATCATGGGTAATAAATTATGATAAACACACAGTGAAGATTGGTTGACCCCTTTATCAACTGAGTGAGAAATTCCTGATAATCAAAATTATGGCTCACCACAATTTCTTATACTTTTCTTTCTAGCTGTTTTATTTTATTTTTAATTGTCAAAGAAAAGAACGAAAGCATGCTTGCCCCCAGAAAAGGGTGTAAATAGCCAAGGCATCTCATGTGCTTCAGGAAGGTATTTACATGTCCCAAACCAAGAAGGATAGGCCCTTTAATGGTAGATAAATGACATCTATTTATCCTAAACGAAGACCTTTTAAAATGCAATTTGAGTTGAAGAGAAGAAAGGGAAAGAAGGAGGTGACTTTTTCTTTGTTAAATTTCACAATAAATTTACATCCAGACTCAGCAAGTGCTTTTCTGTGGCTTCACAGTAGCTGAGATAATTATACTCCTGACCTCTTGATGTATGAGTCCCGATTGAGGGAAGTCAGCTGAATCCCAAGGACAGCATTCCAAGATGATGAAAAGAATTCTTTCAGGACACACCCACTGTGTGACTTGGTGCAGGCAGGATTTCTCCCTACCCCACTGAAGAAGACAGAGCAGAGGGGAAAGGAGAGGACCAGGGTTCACTTCATTGACAGGGACACAGGCAGATAAGTAGTAAGAACAGTTAACATTCAAATGCTTACAATATGCCAAGAACCACTCTAAAGGTTCTGTATTTACAATCAACGTTTCAGCCCGCGGACTGCATATGTCTGTGTTCCCTTAAGATTATAATGGAGCTGAAAATTCCTATTGCCCAATGACGTCTTGATGATCCTGACCTGTGTAAACCTAAGGTAACATATGTGTTTGTGTCTCAGTTTTTAACAACAACAAAAAAGTTTAGAAAGTTACAAAAAAAAATTAGAAATGGAAAAAATCTTGCAGATATAAGGAAAGAAAATGTTGTATAGCTGTACAATGTGTTTGTGTTTTTTTTTGTTGTTGTTGTTGTTTTTTGAGACGGAGTCTTGCTCTGTCGCCCAGGCTGGAGTGCAGTGGCGTCTTGTCGGCTCACTGCAAGCTCCGCTTCCCGGGTTCACGCCATTCTCCTGCCTCAGCCTCCCAAGTAGCTGGGACTACAGGCACCCGCCACCATGCCCAGCTAATTTTTTGTATTTTCAGTAGAGACGGGGGTTTCATCATATTAGCCAGGCTGGTCTCGAACTCCTGACCTCGTGATCTGCCCGCTTCAGCCTCTCAAAGTGCCAGGATTCCAGGTGTGAGCCACTGTGCCTGGCCCTACTTTTTATCCTTTATATTTTTACTGTAACTTTTCTATGTCTAGATATGTTCAGATACATACATATCTAGCATTATGTCATAATTGCCTACAATATTTTGTACAGTAACATGCTATAAGGTTTGTAGCCCAAGAGCAATAGGTTGTACCATCTAGCTTAGGTGTGTAGTAAGCTACCCCATCTAGGTTTGTGTAAGCACACTCGATGATGTTTGCACAATGAAGAAATTATCCAGTGGTACATTTCTCAGAACATATCCCTGTCGTTAAGTGACTCATGACTGTACCACCTCCTGTGAATTATGAATTCTTGTTCGACCCCTCATAAAGCTTAGGACAATGCCTTAAATAGAGCAGAGACTGAATAAGCATTTTTTTTTTTTTTTTGAGACAGAGTCTCGCTCTGTTGCCCAGGCTGGAGTGCTGTGGCGTGATCTCGGTTCACTGCAACCTCCGACTCCCTGGTTCAAGCAATTCTCCTGTCTTAGCCTACTGAGTAGCTGGGATTACAGGCATGTACCACCACGCCTGTAATACAAAAATATAATTTTTGTATTTTTAGTAGAGACGGGGTTTCACCGTGTTGGCCAGGATGGTCTTGATCTCCTGACCTCATGATCCGCCCGCCTCGGCCTCCCAAAGTGCTGGGATTACAGGCGTGAGCCACCGTGCCTGGCCTGAATAATCATTTGATTGAAGTGGAAAAGACAAAATTCTAGAACATTAATTCCAAAGAGCATAAGGATTTCCTGCAGTTAACAGTACTTCACACAAACCCTGAGTAATGCCACACTCTAGTTTTGTGATCATTTCTCTTTCCATATCTTTACCTCTGAGTAAGGCAGAGTGCCTAGTCCTTGGCAGGGATATATAATATATATTTGTGGAGCAAATGAGTGAACAGAGAGGACGCCATCTTCAAGGAAACTACACATTTTTATATTTATCCTTTTTATTTCTGTTTCCTCCTACTAAAGTGTTAGTTCCACGAAGACAGGAAGTTGTATCTATTTGTTTACTGCTATTACCTACAATAATGCTTAGGAAAAAAAGGAATAGTCAATAAATACTTATTGCATTTATCTTATTGAATGAATGAATAAAATGCTAAGTGAGAACACTGTAATCCCAGCACTTTGGAGGCCGAGGCAGCCGAATCACTTGAGGCCAGGAGTTCGAGACCAGCCTGGCCAACATAGCAAAACCCCGTCTCTACTAAAAATACAAAAAATTAACCAGGCCTGGTCGCACATGCCTGTAATCTCAGCTACTTGGGAGGCTGAGGCATGAGAATTGTTTGAACCTGGAAGGCAGAGGTTGCAGTTAGCTGAGATTGTGCCACTGCACTCCAGCCTGGGTGACAGAGTGAGATTCCATCTCAAACAAACAAACAAAAAAGCTAAGTGAAAACAGAGTTCTGTGCTCGGTCCTAGAGATGGATCATCCTATACAGCAGAAAATAACTCAATCCAAGCACTGCTAAATGTTGATGTGATTAAGGCTGATGTTAAGGATAAAGCCTTTCTGATAGAAAGAACTTATTTTCATATATGTGACAGTAACACTACAAAAGCACAATCAGGCCCAGCGTGGTGGCTCACGCCTGTAATACCAGCACTTTGGGAGGCCGAGGCAGGCGGATCACGAGGTCAGGAGTTTGAGAACAGCCTGACCAACATGGTAAAACCCCATCTCTACCAAAAAATACAAAAATTAGCCGGGTGTGGTGGCACACATCTGTAATCCCAGCTACTTGGGAGGCTGAGACAGGAGAATCACTTCAACCCAAGAGGCAGAGGTTGCAGTGAGCCGAGACCGTGCCACTGCACTCCAGCCTGGGTGACAGAGCAAGATTCAGTCTCAGGAAAAAAAAAAAAAAAAAAAAGCACAATCATATGTATTTTTTTATTTTTTTTTTTTTGAGATGGAGTTTCGCTCTTATTGTCCAGGCTGGAGTGCAGTGGCACAATCTCGGCTCGCTGCAACCTCCGCCTCCCAGGTTCAAGCAATTCTCCTGCCTCAGCCTCCCTAGTAGCTGGGATTACAGGCATGTGCCACCACGCCCGGCTAATTTTGTATTTTTAGTAGAGAAAGGGTTTCTCCATGTTGGTCAGACTGGTCTCGAACTCCCGACCTCAGGTGATCCACCCACCTCAGCCTCCCAAAGTGCTGGGATTACAGGCATAAGCCTCCACGCCCAGCCAATCATATGTATTTTTCAATTAATGCTCTCTGAATCCTGCGTGTGATGCCATCATAAATCCCTGACAAAAGGGACCCCTATGCTGTAATGCCCCTGCCCACAGAGTGAGGACTAAAGTCACCTGCCCATCGGAACCCAAAAATCCTGTTCTGGATCATGTGCCAGGTGCTCGGGCCCCAGAGTTCCTTATCCCAACAGCCCATGCTCATTTATAAGGCCTGTGCAGATGTTCCCTCCACACACTCCCCCAAGATAGACAATCCTCAATATAGAATCCCGAGGCCCACAGGGTGAAGGGTGGGTCCAGCAGACATACAGACCACGCTGTCCACAAGCATGACGACTAGATTCCTGCTCCCACCCACACTACCTGGTCAGGCATGGAAGTTGGCTAAGAATCTGAAAACTCAAAATTCAAACCTGCCCTTCAAGATGGTTATAAAGGTGTATTTGTCAGAACAGAAAAATTTCCAAACATGTTTTGACACTTTTTTGTTTGATTTGTAACTTTTAAATATTTACATACAGAGTATGTGGTCCTGCATTCACATTCTAGCCCCGGGCACCACAAATGTTAGGGGCAAGACTGCCCATCAGAGAAACTGAGGCTCAGGGCAGCTGACCTGCCTGAGGGCACAGGGCTAGGAGCTGGAAGAGCTAGAACCCAAACCCAGTTCTTCATAATCCAAGCATCGGTACCTAGGGCGAACCCCTCCCTCACTTCAACCACTTCAGAGCACTTTTGTGCGTGCTTCCCCACCGTGATTACAGAAATCCTGGAGGATCCCAAGAGTTGAGGCCATGGGGCCAGGAACAGCCCGTCCTCTCTCCTTGCAACCTGTGTTTTCTCCTCAATACCACGGCAGCCAAATGTGATCCTAGGTGATCCTAAGCCCAGATGGTCGCTGTGCAAGTGCACACCTGTACATCCCTGTAGTGTGGAGACAATCTATGCTAGAAGTAAACAAGCAGCGGCACATGCCTCAGGAACCGCACAAGACGAAGCCTGAGGCTTCTGAACACACATCTTTTTACAACTCTAAACCCAGAAGTGCATTAGTGTTCTTGCAAAACAGGCTGTGCGGCAGTTTTAAAAGCCCAGCTATAATACCTTCATAAGACCTGTACTTACAGGGACCCTTTCATCCAGGAAATTCAAAGTACTTTACAAGCTCAGAGCCATTCATCTAAACACTCCAGGGAAGTATGCAGGTGGCCTAGGTTAGACTCATTGACGAAGAAACTGAGGCAGCCTGACAGCCTTAAGTAGCAGTCTTTAAAATGGTCTTTGCTTTTTGAAAATGAGTAGCTTTAAACATGTACAAAAAACATGCCACTGATAGAGGAGAAAAAAGGGATTTCCACTATTTTTGTAGGCATTAAATTGAATTTAACAAAATTAAATACTATAGTCATAGAAATCTATGCCTTGGTGTAGTTTTTATCCAAACGAGCCATGAAAATTTATGCTCAATCCACTACAAATGGCTCGTTAAATTTGAGCTACTATCGCCTTTCAAAATGCAAATTCCATAATCACAAATTTTAAGACAGAAATTTCAATTTTTTCCCCTCAAATGGAATCAGGCTTTTACACCTTTAGCCAGAAAGCACTTAGCAAAGGTGATTAGCATATTCTCTCTGGACTAGATGGAATCAATATCAAGCCAGGGAGATTAGCTTCATTTGATTTTTAGTGGGAGGTAAATGGCCCCAGGGAAGCATGTCTGAGAGGAGTGGAGGAAGAGTCCTTTCATAAATCAGGGAAGTTAAGAGTTCAGGAAGAACAGAACATAAAAAGTAGCCATTTTTGTTACCTTAATGTAATCCAAACAATGTTTGGACTGAATACAAATATTTGAAAGTTATGTTCATAGAAATAACCAACATTCAGTGAGTTATCATTTTGTTCTAACCACTGTACTTCCTGCTTATAAATAACCCATTTTATAGGCCAAAAAAAAAAAAAAACAGCCTCAGAAAAATTAACAGATCCAGTCTCAAAACAGTTTACCATGGAGTTAGAAAAATATTCACTCATTTATTCCATAAGGCAACTACATCGAATCTGAAATATGAAAATATATATAAATTTCTCCCAGGGAGTTCATAATCTAGTAGAGAAATACGCAGGTAAAACAATTTTCCAAAAGGCATGTTCAGGGCACCATGGCAATGCAGTGACAGCTGAATTAACTGAGGGTCTAGGGCGGGTAATATGAAGGATTTTGCAGAAAGGATGTCCATTTCAACAGGCAGATCAAAGGAGAAAGGAACTCTAGACTGATTACAATGGCTTATGTGAATGCATGAACACATAAGAGAACCTAATCTAGGTCTCTGGGGTCATCTGGCATGGCTAGAGAGAATGAGGATGCATAAGAAGAGGTACTAAAAGGTAATCCTGGGCTGGATAAGTGTGCACAGGTAGGAAATTAGATGTTAAGAATTAATTATTCGGCCAGCGCAGTGGCTCACACCTGTAATCCCAGCACTTTGGGAGGCTGAGGCAGGTGGATCACCTGAGGTTGGGAGTTCAAGACAACCCTGACCAAAATGGAGAAAACCCGTCTCTACTAAAAATACAAAATTAGCCAGGTGTAGTGGCACATGCTTGTAATCTCAGCTACTCGGGAGGCTGAGGCAGGAGAATCACTTGAACTCAGGAGGCAGAGGTTGTGGTGAGCCGAGATCATGCTATTGCACTCCAGCCTGGGCAACAAGAGCGAAACTCCATCGCAAAAAAAAAAAAAAAAAAAAAAAAAAGAATTAATTAATTACTTCTGCAATTGGGTATGTCTTATCTTCCCAACAAGCTATGTCTCCTTGATGGGAAAAAATCTCCCCTTGGATTCTAGCAGAACAGTTTATGCCTAAAATGGTTTAATCTAAACCACTGATTGCTATTACTTCTTTGTCACCATCATCAGAGCTAGCACTTAGACAACGGCTACAGGCATCACTATTAGCTCTTTATGTATAATAACCTATTTAAAGCTTACAAGAGCCCAATGAGGCAAACTGTATTGCCAGCACCATTCTACAGAGGAGCTGAGGCACAGGAATATGCCTAGAACACTCATCTGCTAACTCACACTGTCTGGAATTTATGTCCCAAAACACATACAAAACTGAAGTGCAAGATTATGTTACTAGGAATTTTCTGCCTCCTTAATTGTCAGTTCTCTTCCTCCCATCCCACACACCCCCCATCAACATAAGCAAATGTCATGGACTTGCCAGGAGATGACTAATAAGCTCATCAACACTGCTTCTCAGCCATCACATAGTATCTGCCACTTTCCTCCTCTCCTGCTCGGTCCCATCCAGTGGTATCTGCCAGTGAGAACCAGTGTCAAAAGTGCTAATGGCCAAGATACTGATTTAGCTGCTGAGCTCCCAGTGATGTCACTTCCCAAGGCTGCACAAGCCACTTTCTCTTCTACTGCCAACCCTGTCCCTGATGTAGTTACTGATGCCACTTAACATACTCAATGTGGCACACAGATTTTGGTAAATCAGTCATCTTGAGATTTTGCTTTCACTTTTAACACAGCCCATTCTCCCTAGGTTTCCAACATGATTCTGTTCGACTGGAAAGTAATCCAAGTGATTGGCAGCATGCTTCCCTTGGAATCCTCTTTCTGTCTATTAACACATTTTTCAACTTTGGTTTACATAAACATCCCTCTATTCGATTGTGAGCTCCTTTGGGCAAGCCTTAAAGAGGTACATAAACTTTCATAAACTCAAATTGCTAGTAGGCATTCAGCTTGTTGAATGAATGAGTTGAGTATTAACTTTCTAACTCCACTGTAAGCTCTTTGAGACTGTACAAGCTCCTATTCACTTTTCTGTTTCTCAGTTTCTTGTTTGTAAAATGAAATCATAAGAGCACGAGCTTCAAAGCGTTGCTGCGAAGATCTGTAAAGCAGTTAAAATGGTACATAGCATACAATAAGCATCTAATAAATGTCTGGTACACAGCATACAATAAGCATCTAATAAATGTCACTATCCATATCTATATACTTAACAGCTACTTACTGTTTTGTATAAGATGTGAACAAAAGTTCTCTGAAAAGGAATTTGGAGAAAAGAGACTTTATTTCAGTGAACAGTCTGCAAACTGGAGAAATACGCTTTGGTGTAAAAGGAAGGTGCATTCCAGAGAACAACAAGAGGGTTTGGATTTTACAGCAAATGTTCCCACCCAAGTTTCCAATCGAGTCTGTTAATTCAAAGATCTGAAACTTGTTTAGTTCCTATTGATTGACACAAGTGAGTTCTGTTGATTGGTTGATACAGCTGAGCCCTGATTGGTCAATACAGCTGAGCTTTGATTGGTTGGTTCAGGTGAGTTCTCAACGTCCCAAAGTTAAAAAGATGTGGGGGTTTCCAGGGTTTGGGGGAACTCAGAGTATGTGTGGGGCCTCAAGTCAGCAAATGGCTGCTTGACTCTATGTTAAATCTAAGCCCACTTAGCCACTTGGGATCCATCTTGAAAAATTGGCTTTTTCAGGTTCTCATCTGTTGACAGACATAAGCAATGTCTATTTGTGCTTTAGATATTTCTTATCCAATTCAACTGTCTTCCTATAGAATGAGGACTTTCCCAGAGGTACTTCAGACAATCATGAAAACAAACTGTTGGAGACCAAAACACCAGACCTCCAGACGTGTCCAGACAGATCTGAATTCAAGAGTATGAGTGAGCAAAGATAAGGCCAAAGGCATAAAACCAGGTAAAACCAAAGGCACGTTTTCCACATGAACTTAAAACTATCAACTGAAAAAGAAAAGAAATGCCTATGGCCATGGATCGGCTATGCTTCTGGGTGGCAATACACAGCATACAACTGACCCAAGTGCCATTCCTACCTACCTAATAAATGGCTGTCAAGAATTATGGCAGTGTGCTGCTCTGTATTTTGGTGGACACACCAACATAAATCCAACTAATATCAGACTGTGTGACCTCACCCTTGGACGCGAGCCAGAGGTTTCACTTGAGATCTCGGAAGTTATCAGATCTGGAAAGTGTTTCAGTTGCTTTCTCTTTTAGCCCATTTTAAGCAAAACAAAAGGCAGCACGGACCCAAAGAGGCAAGAAGGTAAAACCAGAAATTGTCTATACTCCATTACCCCAAATTACCTGATGATGAATAAATATTCATTGTTCCGTGGTTTCAATAGAAAGTAAACACCTATTTAAAAAGACCTGATCTTCGTCATGCCTTTAATCTCTTCCTTTTCGCTTATATCAGAGAGAGAATATTCATGCTTCCTGACCGAAAGATATGCTTCTAATACAACCTCAAACAAACCCTGACCCAAACCCTGATTCAGTGTTCTTTTTTTTTTTTTTTTTTTTTTTTTAATTGAGACAGAGTCACTCTGTTGCCCAGGCTGGAGTGCAGTGGCTCGATCTCGGCTCACCAGTCTCTGCCTCCCAGGTTCAAGCGATTCTCCTGCCTCAGCCTCCCACGTAGCTGGGGTTACAGGCATGTGCCACCACACTCGACTAATTTTTGTATTCTTAGTAGAGACAGGGTTTTGCCATGTCAGCCAGGCTGGTCTCAAACTCTTGACCTCAGGTGATCCGTCCACCTCAGCCTCCCAAAATGCAAGGATTACAGGCATGAACCATTGCACCCGGCCACTATATTCTTTTTCTTTCACTCCTTGGTCAGTCCACTATAACCCCTTAACCAGGACTCAGCCCGGTACATACCACTGCACTCCTCCCAGTATACCTTAGTGGAAAAGCTGAAATTGCACTGACGTTAGAGGTGCTGTCCTGATATTTGTTGGCTGAATGATCTCAGATGAATTTCTTCACCTCTCCAGGCCTCAGTTTCTACATCTATAAAAGGAAGCTGATCTCTGCAGCCTCCTTACCACCCAAATTCTCACAGGGTCATTAGCCCATAGGTTTCCAGGTGTGCAGTGAAACACAAAATGCTGAGAAGCCACACCCCACTCTTAGCATATGGATGAAGAAGCTCTGAGGAAGCACATGTGTTGGAGGGTAGGGGAGGCCGTCAGGGTAAAAAATACCAAGACAACTGAATATGGGAGAAAAACACTTCTCTTGTCCCAACTGAAATTGAAAACTGTGAGTGTGCACAAGCACGAAGAATAGCTGTCAGGGAGCCCGGTGCTGTGAAGAAAACCTGAAATCATCCCTCTCTACCAGTACAGAGTATCTTTGTATCCTTGTATCTGCTGCAACTGGAAATGGAGAATTAGGCAGATGGAGTGTTTTTAAGGGATTGGACAATTTATTAGGTGCTATAAAACATAGGCAATCAATAAATAATATTTCAATTGATTTCAACATCATTCCACTGGTTCTCTTTAGGAAATTTCAAGCTGATGCCACAATGTTCCACTCTGCTCTCTGCTGCACATTTAGTGAATTCCCATGTGTCGATACACAAATTTAGAAGCTCAGAACAGCGGAGGCCACCAATATGACCGCATAGCATTGAAGAATTTAATCAGTTAATGTTTCAGGATCTACCCATCAAACATTGACAGCTCACAATCAATGTAAGAAGTTACTTTGTAAAATGGACTTTTTTTTCTCCCTTGAATTTGAGCCCTAGAAGTCTGTAATGCTTGACTTTCCTGGAAAACTTCCAGATTCACACTTCACTTTCAACTTTGTGGATTGAGCTTCGTCTCTTAAAGACAATAGTGAATGGTTTTGTACTGGCTGTTAAGTCTGCTTTTAAGAATAGTTTAGGTATTCTTTGCAAAGAGGCTTCTGTTATTTCCATCGTGTTATTTTATTTTCAATTTTTCCTTTTTCCCTTCCATTTGAAATCCCCCCTCGGTGGTGTGCCTAAGTGCTCAGGTAATATACATACAAATGCTTCAACAGACAGATGGGTAAGTACCATCTCATGGTGCCCATACTTCTTAGTGAAAAAAGTATCCAAAACAGAGTGCAGTAATTCCATCCCCTCAAGTGCTATAATAATCCCTGCAGATGGCAGTTCTGCAACTGAAACTGCAGCACAATGGATATATAAATTAGGGCTACCAATAATGCTTGACAATACAATGAAGTAAGTATTCCAATATTCCCATTTCTAATACACACATTACATAAAACCAGAAAAATTACTTTTAAGACAAGCAGCGAAATAAAACTTTCTAAAACGTTTTGCAAAATCAGTGCTACATTCTCATCTTTTTCCATACGCAATTTTCATGTAACTGAGTGTATACTCCAAATAGAAAATTTTCTTAAGCTGTAGACCTCATCAGCTTTGTAGGTTAGTCTCTGTGAGCACAGGATACCTGAAAGCTGGTTAATGAATAATATTTCAGAAATCTTTACTAACATGCTAATCACAATTGGATAGCTCTCATTTAATTATTTAAAAAAGAAAAGAAAACCTAAGTATTATTATTATCCTCATCTTCTAGCTGAGGAAATTAAAGCTGAAAGAGGTTAAATAATTTACCTAAGGTCACATTGCTAGTGGTGACAGAACTGGGATTTAAACCTGGGAATTCGGCTCCCAAGCACTTAGCTACTATACAATATTACCCTGGTAGTTAGTACTAGAGTCCTTAGTTTCACAGGGGTAAGGGAGGAGACTCATATATTTGCCTTAGAAAACATCTTATTAAAATGCCAGACTAAAACACACCCAGTCCAGTGAGATTTGCCTACAGAAATACCTACAGGACCTAAACTTATAGATTCCTTTGCCTATGCTTTTGCTCCAGAAGCAAGGCCAGGGCCCCTGTGAATTACGGGGATCAGTGGGAGCCCATGGCTGTCTACCTACTTGTTCACCTGCTTTTAGTTATCTGGAGACATTGTGCCTCCTGAACTGTACACATATGAAAAAATGTCAAGGTCATCAATATTTACCTCTTATGAACCCAAAGGTCCCATTAAAAAGGTATCAGTTATTTGTGGGAATGTTTTAGTCACCTGACATGATGGGAGAGGAGGAAGAGCTTGGAACTATTAACATTTTATTGTAATCTCTAATATGAGAAGTCTACTGCCACCACCAAAGTCAAAGCTGAAATTAATATTTGTAACATAAAAATATCATGGGTGCTACTCAGTTTTCATGAATCTAATGTTATCAACAATGACAAGTCAGAAGACCCCATCACATTAGGCGCAACAGGAAAGCTCTGAACAGCATGCAATTCCAAAGTGATGATGATACACTAAATGTCAGATACAGCCTTCAGATTCTTGTTCTTTTTTTACTTTTATGAAGTATGAAATTCTTGTTCTTTGTTACTTTTTTTAAGTATGAACACAGGCTAGTCGTTTTGTGTACACTCCACCCCACCCTAAAAATATTGCTGTATTTATCATTACACTTCTTTTTTTTTTTGAGAGTGTCCCACTTTGTCACCCAGACTGGAGTGCAATCTCGGCTCACTGCAGCCTCAACCTCCCAAGCTCAAGTGATCCTCCCACCTCCCACCTCACCCTACAGAGAAGCTGGAATCACAGGCATGCGTCACCACATCCAACTAATTTTTGTATTATTTGCAGAGACAAGGTCTCGCTATGCTGCGCAGGCTGGTCTCAAACTCCTGGGCTCAAGTGATCCACCTGCCTCAGCATCCCAGAGTGCTGGGATTACAGGTGTGAGTCACCACCGCACCCAGCCAACACTCCTAATTCTTTTTTTTTTTTTTTTTTTTGAGACAGAGTCTTGCTCTGTCACCCAGGCTGGAGTGCGGTGGTGCGATCTCAGCTCACTGCAACCTCTGCCTCCTGGGTTCAAGTGATTCTCCTGCTTCAGCCTTCCGAGTAGCTGGTACTACAAGTGTGCGCCACCACGCCCAGCTAATTTTTGCCTTTTTGGCAAAGACAGGGTTTCACCATGTTGGCCAGGATGGTCTCGATCTCTTGACCTCCTGATCCACCCGCCTTGGCCATCCAAAACGCTGGGATTACAGGCATGAGCCACTGCCCCCAGCCAACTCCCAATTCTTGATAATTCTTTAACCTTGTAAAAAGAAACTGAGTTCTACAAATAAGCCACGAAGTTTCTCTGATGTCTTGATATAAGAATATCAAGAGCAGAAAGCATGGAAGAAAGATGTATAAAATTTAGCAGGGTGTCTGCATGATGAAACCAGGATTGACATACTAACGTTTTTAATGAAAATCTCCACCGGGTGTGGTGGCTCATGTTTGCCAGGCGTGGCGTCTCATGCCTGTAATCCCAGCACTTCGGGAGGCTGAGGCGGGTGGATCATCTGAAGTCAGGAGTCCGAGACCAGCCAGGCCAACATGGTAAAACCCCATCTCTAGTAAAAATACAAAAATTAGCCGGGTATGGTGGCGGGCGCCTATAATCCCAGCTACTCAGGAGGCTGAGGCAGGAGAATTGGTTGAACCCGGGGGGTGGGGCGGCGGAGGTTGCAGTGAGCCAAGATCATGCCACTGCACTCCAGCCCAGGTAATAAGAGCAAAATTCCATCTCAAACAACAACAACAACAACAACAACAACCACCACCACAGGAAAACTCTGAAGACTCTCCTGCTTGCAATTAAGAGGTATATCCAGAAATTATCAAAAGTTGTATTCTTCCAGTTGAAATCTTCTCAGTTTCATCTTCCTGTTTTGATTACTGGTCCCTTGAAAAGGGGCCTGTGGTATTACAAATTATCCCATTACTCACTCGTCTCAGGTAATTCTGCTGGAAAGGGAAGGAAGTAAATCTTGGAGTCCTGCACTTCCATCCGTTAATCATATACATGCACGCCCTCAAAAGCAGTAAATCACTGTCTTTCACTGTATTGCCATGATTCACACCTGAAACAGAGCAGAGAAGACAGGTACTCAGAAATGCCATGCCCAGAAAAAAAGGCATCTTAATACACTAAAAACAATGACACTTAGGCACACCGGTATTGCTTCTTCTCAAATAGACATCACACCAGCAAGTACAGTTTATCATTCTAATTAAGGGTCGTCAGCCGTATTAAAGGCAAATTTTATAGACCAAAGCTTTCCAAACAGAACATTTTAGGACTCCGTACCCTTTCCAAGCTCTATTAAAACCAAACATCTATATCATGTTAACCCACTTGGGCAGCACGACTTTAATTAGTAAAATTAGCCCTGTTGTTTGGCCAACTTTCGTCTCATAAACTCTGCAAGGCAGAAACATAACCAATCATATGTTTTAAGATGCTACCTAATTATATAAAAGCACTCATCAAACTTTACCCAGAAGTGTTTAAAAATCAAAACATACCATTAATCCTGAAGACAAAAATATTTGAGGTTACCTTATTTTTTAAGATTATGTGCTCATTTACTACATGAGGAAAAAGGGCTTTTGATAGTCAACCGCCTTCTTTTAATTTAATTACCAGAAAATGCAAACTGTTTTCAGGTTTACCTGAATGTTATCAGTTTGAGTGGATTTTCCTACTCAATACACAACTGCCCTGCTTCCACTGGTCTTGTTAGGAAGAGGCAGTAACAGAAGTGCACACTCGGTATTTTTAAGCACATTTAAAATTTCTCTAGCTGGGGAGATAAGAACACCTCCCTCTTGCCAAGCAAATGCCAACAGCCAACAGAACAAGGCCAAATGAGAGAAAACACCTCCTGCAGATTTTACCCAACTTTTTCGTTGAGCTTGCACCATCATTATCAGCTGCCCTTCACAACTGCCAGCCTGTTCCATTAAACTTGCTATCAACTCAATATCAGCAGGATAACAGTACAATGGTCTCCCAGCTCCTAGATTTGGGAGATTGATGACTGGATGCTAATGAGGGCTCTGCCTGCAAGATGTATTTTTTATATTTGATTCCCTGACCTTAATTTTTACATCATTCAAAAATCTGGAACTAAAGCTCACATTGGGTACAGAAATGACGCTTTTTCAGCAAGAATCAGACCAGGCTGACAGACTGTTTCTTTAACTGCCTTTCAGCAAAATGGCCGCCTCAAGGATTAGGCTCTGAAATGGCTGAGAACAGGGATTTGTAAGACAAAGAATGACACGTATTTCTGACAGCTGTGAATATATACATAGGCTAGAAGTATCTTTGAAATAAAAGCCATTGTGATACATTTAAATGGAATAATGTAATTGAAAATAGATTTTTTTTAAAAAAAGAATGAACTCAATGCTACCACACTTTTAGGGATGTTTTTATTGATTTTAAAGGGCTTTGTAATAAGATTATATGCCCTACATTGCAGGACCAAAAGCTCTTTGACTGCATATAAATGATTGTGGTCTGCTCAACTTTCAACACAGGATTTTCTTACCCAGACTCCATCACCACTATATTCTTTAAAAGGCATCTCCTTTGAATTTTGGGTTGTGCTGTGGAAATCTACAACTTATAATGCCTTAGCCTAAATGTACATGCACACACAAAAATTATTCTTTTTCCCCAGTAAGCCTCTGCTAATATCTGCCATCCATATTAAAGTATATGGATATAATACGTTCCTAATAAAAGGAATACACCTTGATGTACACTCCACCACAGAACATGAGTCCCTGAGGTTACTTCAACCTTACCAGTGCCATGAATTACTTTATGGATGACAGATTTTATTTTTTTTAATCCCATGTGTTATATTTTAGCTCCAGCTTTAAAACTGTGCAAATGGAAGGAAAACTATCTTAGTAAACATTCCCCTGACTATCATCAGGTTTAAAAGAATTTTATTTCTAGACCTAAGGAACACCACAAAATAAACCACAGATGCTGGTGCCTGTCAGATATGAAGTGTCCAAAGATTAACCCACAGTGACCTATCTCCGCATTATGTTCCAGGGCCACTTAAATACGAATATGGGGATGACGCCTTTTAGCTAAAAACGTAGATGTCAAACAGCTGCATATCAGACTGTTAAAATGATCTTTGGGAAATCTCAAAGGCTTATGCTATCCTAAAACAGCAAATACTGACATCTACTTTTTGTCTTTTTTTTTTTAAGTGTAATACCAGTAAACCACATTCGAGGTCAGAAAAAGTCTACTTGGCCACCTGAATAACTCTGCCATATTTGGTATTCAAAATTAAAAAGTGGAGACTTAAAAGTGGTAGTTACATGCTGGATTTCTTTGAAAACTTAAAATTGGAGCAGGAAAAAAACCAAAATAAGGACAACTCATTTAATGGCATTTGGTCAGCTCACTTGTTAAATATACACTGATTTATACATACAGTCAAAAAATAGCACTTAAGTTAACAGAATGACTAATGTCATAATGAGACACCTTTATTGAGTCATTATGTATATAAGAAACAGTCCCAAAATTGTGGGGCCTGCTTCAAGTAGGCTAAGAGGTAACTGAATATTGGTAAAATTGTGAAATATATGAAGAGACATGTATATAGAGAGAAATGCAGTCAGCAAAATGTCACTAAATTATACCCTTAAATCTGTCTTGCCTTTAAAAATGCATCCCCATCAGACAGGCATTCACCCACTCCAGAGAACGCAACCAGAAAGGGAGCTTCAAGTCTGTAACCCAAATGACAGCCCAAGAGTTTGTGGGTTTTATAAATGGTGGTTTGAGATTTAGGTTTTGTTTCTCCGTATAAGTAAAGTACCCATGGCAATGTTGTCCTGACACTACAGAATCACAGAAAGAAAAATTTATAGACTGAGTGGTTTACCAATTTCTTTTGACCAAAAGCAGTCCAAGGAGCAACTAGGTCAGATGTCCGTTCTACCTGCCACTTGATTATTTGCGGGAAGACATAAAGCTGGTTTTACTGATTTACCAGGAAATGTTTCTCATATCAAGTTCAGCACTGAATAGTGAACCATAGATATTCAATTTCAATTAGAAATTAACAGTCCTCCAAATCATAAAACCATTATATCCAATGCCACAATTTTAAGGGGGAAATTTGGGGGAGAAGAGTACGAGAAAAATCGTACAGATTCAAAAAGGACTGATGTTATTAGGGAGCAGAAGAGGAACTGATTTTCATTACCTTAAGGATATTGCTTATTAAGCTCAGACTACAAAACAAGCGTAGCTGTAGGAGTTTTGTGTTCCAGGTACCAATATGAGTTTACCAGTCAAAGCAAGCCTCTTCTGAAAATTATCATGGTTTACTGATGAGTACTTGTATCAATGTCTTAGGGAGATACAGATAGAGAGAGACGTGTGTGTGTGTGTGTGTGTGTGTGTGTAATTTATGTTATAATGTGTGTGTGTGTAATTTATATGTTATAGTGTGTGTGTATATATATATATATATATATATTTTTAAAGCCCACCACTGATGTTGTAAATGATTCAAGAATTATATATGGAAAGCATAAATATGTTTCTATATCTCTGTCTAGCTGGCTAACAAGAAGCTTTTAGAGCTGAAAAGTTCTAAGAGGCAACTTGTTATTCCAGAGCCCTAAATCTATAAATCTTACAGCTGACATTTCCCAACTTGGGGCAATAACAGATTAGAGGATGAGTAGGGCCACTTCTATTCTTAAGGACATAACTGGCAGCTGCTGGGCTCATTTGGAATCGTTGGCTCATGAAAACTTGTTTATGCATTTGGTGTATTCATATAATTTGCCTATTTGCTAGGCTTAACACCAATAAGATGGCTGAACATTTGCTGTTGTCCATTTGTTGACTCACAACAACTCAAGGCTTAAATGCCACATAAAAAGAACCTGACCAGCTGGGAGGAGGCGTCAAGGACTTGATGAAATAGAACAAAGTCTTGTCTTGATTTTTCTCTGGAAAAAGTCAAAAAGAAAATATTGTTTTCTAATAATTCTAAGAGCCTTTTCATTTATCTTCTCGTTACAAAAACTAGCATGTATTCCTAGCATGTGTCAATAGATGGTCACAACTGGTATTCAAAAATCAGGTGCTTTAGGTAAAAGGGCCAATATTGAATCTCAAGTTAAATTAAGCTGTTGTTTTGTACACACTTTTGTGATGGGCTTGATATGCTTCTAGATGGTAAATACAGTCTCTGAAAACAAAAAACACATAATCAAAATAAAAACCTTCAGTTACTGAAGGCCAGAAACACCATGAGAAACAGTTTTATTTAATTAAATAAGACTTCCTGTAATTACTAGGAAAATGCCTCAATCTGGTACGCTTCATATAGGGACAGAAAAGTCTAAGTGATTCTAATCAAAATGTTCTCAAATCTCTCTTACGTAATGATCAATTGGAAAATAACAATTTCATATCTTCCACAGTTGTGATACAAATATTAAATGTCTTAATTACCTCTTTACCTCATTTATATTCTCAGAGATACACAAGTATTAAACAGGATAACAGACTTTAAAAATTAATCAATTTGAAATTTTCCTTCTAAAAGACATTTTGCTTTTACCTTGCCATACAAAAGACTATCATTTCTTAAACCATTACTTTGTACCTACTTAATTCCTACTAATGTGGCTACTTGGGATGCTGGATTTCTCCAAATATATTTGTTTTTATTAAACAAATGTCCAACAACTTTCAGAATTAACAAATGGACTAGCAGCCCCAAATGAATGCCAGCTAAATAAGCAATTAACCTGGGAACACAAACACATCCCCAATCTACTAAGTTCGGAACATTCTCAGATTATAGCCAATTGCCAAACTCATTCATCTCAGCAACTCATTGTGCTTGTATTGATCAAGACAAGCACAATCTCAGGAGCTTTCTTTGCCTTCTCTCACTTTAAGAGGTATCAACAAATTAGATATGTATCAATTCATGAAAAAACTTCTTTAGAGTGTGACCAGTATTGGTCCTTTCCAGCTCTAATATTTAATGAAAACCTCTAAAGTTGAGTCATAGAAAACTGCATTTTTTAAAAAATTCTTACTACGGAACGTATTTTAGTAAGTCCAGAGTCACAATTTTGCCTCATGAAGCATATATACCTACAAGACGTTCAGGAGCACCAAGAAGCCGAACTGCTCTCAAAACAATCTCTTCCTGGGCTGCTTGTCTAAAGACTCAAATCCCCACCATAGCTTGGTCTCTTAGGCACCAAAGCCCCTTGATAAAATACCTAGCTATTAAACCTTTAGAATAAATTTACTTCATACAGGAATCTATTGGTCAATGCTCAAAGTACATAATCAATTGAACAGGTAAACCATGGTAGGAGAGGGAAGCAGAGGAAAAGTTCTATTTAGGGAGAAAAGTTTGTAATGAGTGTGAACTGGGCCACCAAAGGCAGTGGGAAGATGGAGGAAACAAGAGATAAAAGTCCAGGGAAAACCTACCAGACCAGACAGAACTTTAGACCATTTTGAAGTAGAAAATGTTGGGATTGCCAGGTGCGGTGGCTCACGCCTGTCATCCCAGCACTTTGGGAGGCCAAGAGTTCGAGACCAGCCTGACCAACATGGAGAAACCCCATCTCTACTAAAAATACACAATTAGCCAGGCATGGTGGTGCATCCCTGTAATCTCAGCTACTAGGAAGGCTGAGGCAGGAGAATCACTTGAACCCAGGAGGCAGGGGTTGAGGTGAGCCGAGACTGCGCTACTGTACTCCAGCCTGGGCAACAAGAGGGAAACTCTGTCTCAAAATAAAAATAAAAATAAAAAAAGAAAGAAAAAAACAAGAAAAGGCTGGGATCTAGTTTCCAGTATATCTAGGTTTGTTTTTTCATAATCTGCACTGCCAGTCAAGTAAAACCAACATACACTGGCTGGAGAAGCAAAGTCTTGCTTCCTGGTCTTGTCTGGAATTCTGTCTTCTCTCCCTCCATGCCCTGGGTACCTGCCAGCCCTCAACGTCCCCTTCCCCTGCCTATAATCACTGGGATCTTCTTCTTTCTAATTGCTCCGGATTTTTTTTTTTTCTTATTCTTTTCTCCCATTCTTTCATAAAATTTCAGAAAGAATAATTAAAAATCCTTTGTCCAGGCGAGCCACAAGCTTTTAAAAATCCCCATCTGCCGAAAATATTTACATTTAGGGAAAGTGTTGCTCTGTTTACTTCAGAGACCACACAGATATTTGAACAAGGAGAAAAACAATCCTGGTCTATTGATTCTGAGTCTAGGCTTTATCCACCAGGACCAGTTGTTCCTCACAAGTTATTATTCTGAAAAAGTCACTTCTATTTAGGTTTTTAAACCAACATTTAAAAACCTACCAAGACAAAAAAATACTTCCCTAAGTAATGTCCTCAAGTAATGGCCTAAGTAATGTCCTGAAGTTTATGCTTCTGTATTCAGAGGCCAAGCAGACTCTCCCAAACAAGAGGCCCGCATTCTCACACGAAGCGATTTACCTTCAGCATTGAGAGCCCCTTCTGGGACAAAGAATGTGAAGAGGGGGAGCTTTAGAACTGCTGGTGGCAGTAATACCCAACATCATTCACATAACTCAGCAGACTGTCACTGTTCGTGCATCTAAAGGAACCAGCAACTGGGTAAAACAAAAGTTCAAAGGAGTTGGGATGAGGCATAGGGCCGAAGACAACCAGGGAAGGGGATCTGAAAGAGTGGGAGGTGACCCTGAGACTCCAGGGTGGAAGCAGCAGAACATCGGAGGTGTTCCCAAAACATTTGAATGAGAGAGGGGGCCATAAGACTAGCATCTAGTTCCGGGGGGTGGAAGCCATTATGATCATTAAGTAGGCCATAGAAAAAGGTGGCTGTAAAAATGTATTCTCCTTTCCCCCTCCTTTCTTTTCATCTAGAAATGGCAGTCCCAGTCTACTTTGCACACAGTTCTGCATTAGCTTATTCAACATCAAGCCACCTAGGAGAAATCAAAGCTAATTTGTTCATAAAACCTTAAGAGAAGCTGGGCACAATGGCTCATGCCTATAATCCCAGCACTTTGGGGGGCTGAAGCAGGAGGATCACTTGAGGCCAGGAGTTCAAGACCAGCCTGGGCTACATAGTGAGACCTCATCTCTACTAAAAATAAAAATAAATTAGCTGGGCTCAGTGGCATGCAACTGTGGTCCCAGCTACTGAGGAAGCTGAGGCGGGATGACCCCTTGGACCCAGGAATTTGGGGCTGCAGTGAGCTACGATTGTGCCACAGCACTCCAGCCTGGGCAACAGAGAGACTCTGTCTTTAGAAACATAAAAATAAACCTTGAGGCTGGGCGCGGTGCTCACGCCTGTAATCCCAGCACTTTGGGAGGCCAAGGCAGGCGGATCACGAGGTCAAGAGATCGAGACCATCCTGGCCAACATGGTGAAATCCCGTCTCTACTAAAAATACAAAAATTAGCTGGGTGTGGTGGCACGAGCCTGTAATCCCAGCTACTCAGGAGGCTGAGGCAGGAGAATCGCTGGAACCTGGGAGGCGGAGGTTGCAGTGAGCCGAGATCGTGCCACTGCACTCCAGCCTGGCAACAGGGCGAGACTTTGTCTCAAGAAAAAGAATAAAAATAAACCTTAAGAGAGTTGAAGAGTAAACTGTGACATTACCATGCTCCCTTACAGGTAAGTTATGAACTCTGCTCTGGTCTGAAGAAACTTCTGGAACATCAACTCTACTGGGTAATACTGTTCTACTTTTTTTTCTTTTTTTTTTTTTTTTTTTTTTGGGAGACAGAGTCTCACTCTATCACCAGGCTAGAGTGCAGTGGCGCAATCTCGGCTCACTGCAACCTCTGCCTCCCTGGTTCAAGCGATTCTCCTGCCTCAGCTTCCCAAGTAGCTGGGATTACAGGCACCTGCCACCACGCCCAGCTAATTTTTCTATTTTTAGTAGAGATGGGCTTTCACCATGCTGGCCAGGCTGGTCTCGAACTCCCGACCTCAGGTGATCCGTCCACCTCGGCCTCCCAAAGTGCTGGGATTACAGGTGTGAGCCATGACACCCAGCCTGATGTCATTTCTTACTCGGAAAAGGAACAATAATTAAATAGGACAAATGCCGAAAACCACCAGGAATTAACCACCCACAGCAGGGGATGGGGCCCACTCTCAGCTCCTAGATTCATCTAACCTTTGCAGTTAACTCACAGTAGGACTTCTGTAATGGGCTCTTCAGCTATCTAGAGGCTTCCTGCCCCTCATTATCACTGCTCTATACAATACAAGGAAAAATAAATTGCACAGTAAAGCAAAATGTTTTGACATCCCAACACAATGAGAGACACACCTGAGGTCCTCTAGCAGCTTAAGTTTAAAAACGAACTGAAGACAGGACTTTCCCTTCTCTGTTGGAAAATACCGCCAGGAGCACAGTACTCTTGTGAATGGTACTTCTATGTTCTAAAGGAAAAATGCTTTTCTGTCTCTGAGCTCTGTCTCCAACCTGTGGTCTTGTAGATTTCTCCTGAGAGCTTCCACCTCCCCTGCATGATCCATTCTTGTGCTGGCCTTAAACCAGCCATGACTCACACACATGCAGAAGAGTAAACATCACTAGTTTAAAAAAGAGAAATAGTTATTTATACACCCTTCCTCACAGAGCGTTAGTCACAATAGCCAAAAGGTGGAAGCTGCCTAAATGTCCATCATTGGATAAATGGAAAAACACAATGTGACATATACATACAATGGAATATTATTCAGCCTTTAAAAAGAAAAGAAGTCTGATGCAGGCTACAACATGGATGAACTTGGAAGACATCATGTTAAGTGAAATAAGCCAGTTACACAAAAACAAATAGGGTGTGATTCCATCACATGGAGTATCCAGAGTACTGAAACTCAGAGACAGAAAGGAGCATGGTGGTTGCCAGGAGCATGGTGGTTGCCAGGAGCTGCGGGGAGCGGGAAATGGTGAGCTGTTGGTTAGTGGATATAGAATTTCAGTTTTGCAAGATGAAAGGTTATGGAGATTGGCTGCACGATGATGTGATATACTTAACACTGCTGAATAGTGTACTTAGAAATAGTAAAGACAGTAAGTTTCACATTGTTTTTTAATCATAATTAAAAATACATAAAAAAGAGAAATACTTTCAAACCCATAAACTGGAATTGCTCTTTACATTACAATTGCATTTTTACTGGACTTCTTTTAAGATATCAATCTAATAAGAATCTACTGCGTATAATGGTGTTGACTCATTTGCTTCTCTCAAATAAGAGCTACTAGTATCATCTATTGTTTTACAGACAAGGAAACTGAGGCACAGAGTAAGTAAATAAGTTTTGCAAAATCACACAATTACAAACTGAGGGAATTTGTCCCATATTTCACCCTCCTTTATCTCATACACGCCCCTTCTCTTTCTAAAGAGTCTTATAAGAGTCGGCTTCACTCCTTAACTTCCTGCAAACAGGCTTTCCCCCATACCACTCCCACTAATCAGTTCTCCTAAAGGTCACCAATTACCTCCGTATCACCACTACTCACTTTTGTAAGCTTATCTTCACTTGGCTTCTCTGTGGCATGTGATACAGTTGACCCACCCTTTCCTTCTGGAAATTATCTCTTCCCTCTGTTTTCTGGACACGATTCTTCCCAGCAATCCTTCTACTTGTCTGACCACTCCTTCCTTATCGTGTTCTTAAGCAACACATTTTCTTCCCCAATTTCCACCCAAACAATGGCTATTCGATGACTGAATGAGCAATTAAGTAATATTTACTTTAAACTTATTTCACACATTGCCGGGGTTCTTTTGAAGTTTGCAGGTTCTAGAGCCTTCGGGATATAGGCTCTCTAGAGCTGTCACTTGAAAGTGAGGGTTCTATTTTATTTACTTTACACCTCTCAATGCCTACCACAATGTAAACCTCACTCTTGTTGCCTAGGCTGGAGCGCAATGGCCTCATCTTGGCCCACTGCAACCTCCGCCTCCCGGGTTCGAGTGATTCTCCTGCCTCAGCCTCCCAAGTAGCTGGGCTTACAGGCATACACCAACATGCCTGGCTAATTTTTGTATTTTTAGTAGAGACGGGGTTTCGCCACGTTGTTTAGGTTGGTCTCGAACTCCTGACCTCAAGGGATCCACCCACCTCCACCTCCCAAAGTGCTGAGATTACAGGTGTGAGCCACTGCAATCGGCCCCAATTTAATCTTAATATAACTTAATCCTCGCATTCAAACCTGCTTTTCCAGGTATATTCTTCCAGTTTTTACTGCCTAAAGCTCCCAAATGATTCAAATGTCAAGTTCACGCCAAGGCCAGTTAAGGGTCTAACATGGGTTCTAGATAATAGCTAAAACAGTAGAAAAATTGTTCCATTTCACTTATTGTGTATTTCTCAGATCCCTGCCAGGTCTCCCTGGCTTGGAACGGCCCCCTGAACTGTCTTATAGGAATGGCCACAGCCTCCTGCCCCTCCCCAGCAGTTGTGTCCCAACTGGCCTTTCTGCCTTCGGAGTGCCTCGTCTGTCCCAATATGAAGCATTAAATGAGATTCAAACATTCCGACAATGTTCCTGCATCTTCTAATTCAATTAGTTGAGCTAAATATGTAAAACCCTAATAACAGAAAATTAGAGGAAGCTCAAAAGGTGTATGCATGTTGGAGTCAGCTAAATTTTGATGAAGAGTAAATTAAGTTAGCTATAGATTAAATTCACAGTATCTCACTCACTAGGAAGTCACACAACACCATTGTTTCATCCTTTGTTATCTTCCCTTGAAGACTTTGCTTTACCCACAGTCCTCTGTAAATGTTCTCCATTGCATCCTTTTTTGAATAGTACATTCTGAAGTCTACTTCTGATCTCTGACCTCACAGATGTTCTCCTATTAGTTCTATGCTCAGCATAACGGAATGTTAATAGGCTGTTATGACTTACTCTACAAAAATCAGTGGTCTCAATCCTGCCGGGTAAATAAGCTACTTTGGCGGGCACGGCTATCCACACAGCATTAGGTACCATTTGATAAGTCATAGCCTTCAAAGAACAAAAATTTATCCTAAGGAATTCAGAACTTTCATAAACGGATTTTTTGTTTGATTTAGATATTGAGACTAATTTTCCACCTCCTTCTACATACCTGAAAAATAGCAAGGTGGCAGATCCTGACTAGCCTATAATATGGACAACATCCAAAATATTGCACAACACTGAAAAGATAAAATTTCAACAGAGAATGATGAGTACTGAGTTATGAATTTTGGGACACAGTTGGCTGGTACAAGAAAGGTTTTTGTTTTGTTTAAGTCTAGGAATAAAAGTACTATATAACAATAATCCCCTGGTAGATCAAGCTAGGACTTTGAAAAGGCACATGGTGGAATTCAACATCAATTTTTCATAAAAATTATCTTTCAACAAATGAAAGGTCATTCTTTGATAATAGAAGTGTGATAGTACATGAGGCTGACCCAAGAAGGTATCAATTTTAAGATGCAGCAGATTTTTAAAAAGATCATCTTGCTTTGAAAGAATGAGAAAAGAAAAGCTTTTCTAAACTTCTAAGAGTTAGAGAAAACATATTTTCTTTTTTCCTGGGGTTATCTTGGATCGTATGTGTATTCACAGTTAAGGTTTTTTTCAGTGTTTTGTTTTGTTTAATACAACACATCTGTAAAATTATTACCAAGCCAGAAGGCTCTACTTTCTTTTTTTTTTTTTTTTGAGACGGAGTTTTGCTCTTGTTGCCCAGGCTAGAGTGCAGTGGCATGATCTCAGCTCACCGCAACCTCCACCTCCGGGGTTCAAGCAATTCTCCTGCCTCAGTCTCCCGAGTACTTAGGATTACAGGCATGCGCCACCACGCCCGGCTAATTTTGTATTTTAGTAGAGATGGGGTTTCTCCATGTTGGTCAGGCTAGTCTTGAACTCCTGACCTCAGATGATCCACCCACCTCGGCCTCCCAAAGTGCTGGGATTACAGGTATGAGCCACTGCACTCGGCCTTTTTTTTTTTTTTTTTTGAGACAGAGTCTCACTCTGTTGCCCAGGCTGGAGTGCAGTGGCGCCATCTCAGCTCACTCCTGCCTCCGCCTCCTGGGTTCAAGCAATTCTCCTGCCTCAGCCTCCTGAGTAGCTGGGATTACAGCCACCTGCCACTACACCTGGCTAATTTTTTATTTTTTATTTATTTTTAAAGACAGAGTTTCACCATGTTGGCCAGGCTGGTCGTGAACTCCTGACCTCAAGTGATCTGCCTGCCTCAGCCTCCCAAAGTGCTGGGATTACAGGCACCCGCCACCACGCCCAGCCTAATTTTCTGTACTTTTAGTAGAGATAAAGTTTCACTATATTGGCCAGGCTGGTCTCAAACTCCTGACCTTCTGATTCACCCACCTCAGCCTCCCAAAGTGCTGAGATTACAGGCATGAGCCACTGTGCCTAGGAAGGCTCTACCTTCAAAGAGACGATTGTCTCTGGAGTTCAAGTATCTGAAAGGGACTGGAGAAAGGAGTGTGGTTTTTTTTTGTTTTGTTTGTTTTGTTTTGTTTTTTGAGACAAGTCTCGCTCTTGTCGCCAGAGTGCAATCGCGCGATCTCAGCTCACTGCAACCTCTGCATCCCGGGTTCAAGTGATTCTCCTGCCTCAGCCTCCCGAGTAGCTGGGATGACAGGCACCTGCCCCCACACCCGGCTAATTTTTGTATTTTTAGTAGAGATGGGGTTTCACCATGTTGGCCAGGCTGGTCTTGCCTTACCTCAGGTGATCCGCCCACCTCGGCCTCCCAAAGTGCTGGAATTACAGGCGTGAGCCACCACACCCAGCCACGAGTGTTTTATCACAGTCTTACTTCAGAATTATCCCCTGCATAGGGATAATAAAAGCACAGACTGACTTTAATAGTCAATTTTATTATTGTTTTTTTTTTTTGAGACTGAGTTTCGCTCTGTCACCCAGGCTGGAGCCCAATCTCAGGCTCACTGCAAACTCTGCCTCCAGGGTTCAAGTGATTCTCCTGCCTCAGCCTCCTCAGTAGCTGGGACTACAGGCATGGACCATCATTCCCGGCTAATTTTTGTATTTTTAGTAGAGACAGGGTTTCACTATGTTGGTCAGGCTGACTTCGTCATCCACCCACCTCGGCTTCCGAAAGTGCTGGGATTACAGGCATGAGCCACCATGCGGGGTCTATTGTTCCTAAATTTCCTACAGACAGTGAACTCTCTCATTGCCTGTAAAGAGAGCTAAGCACTCCCACCGCCCCCAATGCCCTTCGAAGAAGAACAGATTACATGGAACATAATTGTCACCATCGCCTCCATGAAATCTTCCTGACTGCAAACCTTCCCCACATCCAGGTCCCCATAACTCCTCACTTGTTAAACAGTTGTCATTTGCTGTTTATTTTTCTTTCTCCCTGCTCGATTTTGAGGTTCTTCAGGTCACACATCTTTACTCTACTTTCCCAATATTTCCAAATGCCTTGCAGAGTGCCTAAAACACAACAGTCCCTCAACACGGTCATTAATTTAAGAAAAATCCATTGAGCATCTGTTCGTGACCAGGCCCTGCTCTAGGCACTGGGGTTACACCCGTGAACAAAACATACGGCAGCATAAACATAAGCTTACATTGAAGCAGTGTTTACATAAATGAATGAACATTAGAGCGCCAACATCTTCTTGATAGATCGGAAACTTTACTCAGTGAAACAAAAACAAAACACGCACATGGCCAGCTTTTACATAATTCTTTCACATTGCGAAAGTTAAGTCTAAGCCTGGTTTGCAAGTGAAATTTAGAATCCTAGAATTATCACTTGACACATGGATTTCCCTTTATCAATGATAAATGTTCAAGGACATGAGCCAGAGTCCTTAAATTTCCATCATACTACTATTAGGCCCACAAACTATAACTTGCCCTTGGATGCAACCAAAATTATCTTCAAAAACTGAAAACCATGTTTCATGAAAACACCTCTTTCATAGAAGAGGTATTTAATGAGAACCAGTCTTTCACCACCACCCATTACTATTTCCATAGAGTATTTCTAATTTTCTAAATCCTTTCATTTCACTTATTTATTTATTTATTTATTTATTTACTTATTTATTTTGAGACAAAATCTCGCTCTGTTGCCCAGGCTGAAGTGCAGTGGTGCGTTCTCGGCTCACTGCAACCTCCACTTCCCGGGTTCAAGCAATTCTCATGCCTCAGCCTCCTGAGTACCTGGGATTACAGGCACCCACAACCACACCCACCTAATTTTTGTATTTTTAGTAGAGACGGGGTTTCACTATGTTGCCCAGGCTGGTCTCGAACTCCTGGCCTGAAGTGATCTGCCCTGCCTTGGCCTCCAAAAGTGCTGGGATTATAGGCATGAGCCATTGCACCCGGCCCTCATTTTATTTTATTTTATTTTTATTTTTTGAGACACAGTCTCACTCCGTCACCCAGGGTGCAGTGCAGCAGCACAATCTCGGCTCACTGCAAGCTCTGACTCCTGGGTCCACGCCATTCTCCTGCCTCAGCCTCCTGAGTAGCTGGGACTACAGGCGCCCGCCACCACGCCCGGCTAATTTTGTTTTTGTATTTTCAGTAGAGATGGTGTTTTACCATGTTAGCCAGGATGGTCTTGATCTCCTGACCTCAGGATCCGCCCGCCTCAGCCTCCCAAAGTGCTGGGATTACAGGCGTGTCAGCCACCGCACCCGGCCCCTCATTTTATTTTTATTGTCTCATTTGAGCCCTCACATAACAGATGACATAGATAGGTTAGGGTTTCTTATTGTGTTTTCTTTATAGATGCATAAGTGGAGGCTCATGGAGCTTATGTTATTTGCCTAATTGCATGCAGTTGGTAAGTTGCAAAGTCAAACTTAAAACTAGAACTATGAACTCCAAAGTCAGCAGTCATGCTCTTTCTAACTGCATTATACCATCTACAAGAAAAGATACAGGCTGAAAATAGAATTGGAAATATATAGAACTCCCAAATCCAACATGATTTACTACAGACATTCTCTCTTCTCTCTCTCTCTCTCACTCTCTCTCTCTCATACACACACCCCACAATTTAGAGATCCACAAGCAAATTCACCAGTAACTAGCAATGAAGACTACTCTTTCTATAACAGATATTAGACCTTCCAGACAATTTACCTAGGAGTAATCAACATAATTACTGTATTCACACTTATGGATTACTGAAGGTGATCATTTCATCTTACTAACTGTACGGTCAAAGATGGTAAACTCCATTCGGTAAACTCCCAGAGGACCAGGACTGTGTCACATCCCTGTGCAACCCCAGCCCTCAGCACGCCTTCCAACTTGTAGCAGGGCACTCAGCAGATACTCAATGAATGACCACACTGCTGTGTTAGCAGCTGTTGAAAATTGGTTTAAGAGTTTTCATTAAGATTTTCTGCGTTTTCTCCATAGTCTACCACTAATTTGACTTTGAGCCATTTAAAGGCAGAGACACTCTGTGTCTTCCTGTATAAATCATGTACAGAACCGCAGATGGTGTCATACTCATGTGGAATGTGTGTTGAATCAATATTTGCTCATTGATTTGTTGCTCAAATGACACTACTTGGTTGTGTTTATCTGGCAAATCATGCGATTTTAATAATTAGTGTCTGAGGTGGAAACATGCCTTTAACAAAAAAAATTAGGGGTGAATGTGAAGTGCTGAGAGTGATACTGGCCTACAAGATGTATATTAGATGGAAACACATTACTTCCACTGCAAAATTAATAGAGTAAAAAATACATGTAGATAAAAATCTCCAAAAGTAACACCACTGTTATTGCTTTTTACACACACACACGCACACACACACACAAACACACACACATACGCAATAAAGGAAGCATGACAAGTAACAAAAGTAACTTCAACACCACTGGGAGCCTAAAGAATCACACTATGCTGACTTGCAATGTAGAGAAGCATCCACTATTGGTCTAGGAAATCAAAAAGACGCATTCTCTTGTCTACGATCACTATGTTTTATGAAGATTCTTCTGACAAAAGCACATGCGCTAAACATATTATTAGACTCCTAGACTGAATGAGGTGTTTTGATAAATCAAATTACTGATTCACTAAAGGTTAACCAGAAACCCATTTATACTTTGAGCCTTCTGAGTGCGGTAAGAGGTGAGGGAATCAGAGAATCTCAGCATTAGCAGGGACAGCATAGATCAGCCAATTAAATCTCCCACCCAATGAAAGGAAGCCTTTCTATAGTTATCGCTGACGTCTTTAGGATATACATTAATTAGTCCATGTTTTCACGTAATGAACATAATTTAATCTTTCTTTGATGACAAGGGATTTTCAAATTGTGCAGGGTCATGTTTGGAACCAGAATCTTTAATGTTCTATAGATGAGGTTGTCATAGGACACTGGGCCAAATGGATACAGATCCCAGGATATCTCCAGGAAAAGACACTTCAAAAATGTTAAATCCTTAATATGTTTTACAATTATATATCTCTTTCTTATAAGATACATGCTCAAAGGAGCATATGCTGATTAAAGAGTTGAGATTTCTGAGTTCTGGTTATCTGGAGTTTAATTTTGTCTTCATTGAGAAAAATAATTTGATACTACTATGAGTTCAAGCAGTCAGATCACAGCCAAAGGCAATGATGTTGTTAATGCTTAACTGAAAACTCTTCTGAATTATTAATGATAATAGCATAATTTCTGCCTTCAGATAAATACATATTTATTTCAATTGAAGTTTGTCCAATGATAAGAGTATATTGTAATGACAAACCAGCACACCCTTAGAAGGTGCAATTCATTTACATTATTTTCCACAATAGATGCAGTGCTGAAAACAGGGGTACATAGAAGGTCTTTGTTGTAAATCTCGTTACATGTAAAATGCTCTGGGTGAAGTCACCAGTCTAAGAGTCCCACAATAAGCAATACATAATATCAACTACTACCTTTGTTTATATTTTACTGGCAATCTTTTTTTTTTTTTTTTAAGAGTTGCAGCTTCACTCTGTCACCCAGGCTGGAGTGCAGTGGCACGATCTAGGCTCTCTAGGCTCACTGCAACCTCCACCTCCCGGGTTCACGCCATTTTCCTGCCTCAGCCTCCCGTGTAGCTGAGACTATAAGCGCCCGCCACCACGCCCAGTTAATTTTTTGTATTTTTAGTAAAGATGGGGTTTCACCGTGTTAGCCAGGATGGTCTTGATCTCCTGACCTCGTGATCCACCCGCCTCGGCCTCCCAAAGTGCTGGGATTACAGGTGTGAGCCACTATGCCCGGCCATTCACTAGCAATCTTAAATCTTTGGGCCGGGTGCAGTGGCTCATGCCTGTAATCCCAGCACTTTGGGAGGCCATTGCAGGCGGCACACTTGAAGCCAGGAGTTCAAGACCAGCTTGGCCAACATGGCAAAACTGCATCTCTACTAAAAATACAAAAATTAGCCAGGCATGGTGGCACATGCCTGTAATCCCAGCTACTGGAGAGGCTGAAGCATGAGAATCACTTGAACCCAGGAGGTGGAGGTTGCAGTGAGCTGAGATCACACCACTGCATTCCGGCCTGGGCAACAAAGCGAGACTCTGTCTCAAAATAAAAATAAAATAAAATCTTTCTATGTTAACTTTTTCTAAAGCAAAGCACAACTTTACAGGATATCTTCTCCAAGAACAACTTTCAAAACCCCTGAAGATACACAATCAAATAATACACTAATGGCGTGCAGTCCCTACCCTCCCAGAGTTCACATTCCCACCAGCAACATAGGCAAAAACCCAACTAAATGTTTATGCAACGTCAGAGGGATGCGTTTCATGAAGAAAAGCAGGATAAAGGGATAGAGAGAGTTTGAAGGCAGGGTGTGCTATATTAAATCACTCAGTGAGGCCTTTATTAAAGGTGGCATTTGAACAGAAAGGAAGGAAATGGCCAGTCAATCAGATAGCAAGTACAGAAGCCTGAAACTAAAGCATGTTTGCTTGGACATGTTCAAACAACATTTGCAAAAAAAGACAATGTGGGTACAGCAAAGTAAGCAAAGGGAAGGGAAAAACAGTAGGAATGAGATCCCAGAGGTGGTAGCATAAGAAGGCAGGCTATATAAGGTCTTGCAGGCCATGTGTAGAGGCAGCGGTTGTCCACCATCCGGATAACCATTCAGGACCAAGACCCTTATTCCTCCAGCTGCTGGCAATGTTGCCTGCTGATGGCTCACCATTGTGTACCTACCCCCGCAAGATGTTCTACTGCATGACAATGGAAACTGCAACTCTAATCATCCTATACATACTCCCAGGAATTCCTTTAGTCCTGAGTTTTCAAAATAGCTACTGCCTAGCCTGAACATATACTTAACTGGTTTTTTTGTTTGTTTGTTTGTTTGTTTGTTTGTTTGAGACAGAGTCTTGCTCTGTCACCCAGGCTGGAGTGCAATGGTGTGATCTTGGCTCACTGCAACCGCTGCCTCCCAGGTTCATGCGATTCTCCTGCCTCAGCCTCCTGAGTAGCTGGAACTACAGGCTCACCCCACCATGTCCAGCTGATTTTTTGCATTTTTAGTAGAGATGGGGTTTCTCCATGTTGGCCGTGCTGGTCTCGAACTCCTGACATCAAGTGATCCACCCACCTTGGCCTCCCAAAGTGCTGGGATTACAGGTGTGAGCACCACCACGCCCGGCCACCTTAACTTTTATGAGGAAGAAGTAAAACATGACCGTAGGTGCAGTTTAAAAGTTGAAGAAATGTTTAAGAAATGTGTTAATAGAACAAACTTGCAATTGGTATCCCTACCTCCTAACCCCTCTTCCTCCCTTGTTTCCAATCCTAGCTGGTAACGTCTATCCAATCATTTCAGCTAGAAAATTAAGAGCCCCATCCCTCACCTGCTACCACCCCCTACGCACATCACACCATAACTACCACATCACAACCGTTACGAAGTCCTGTGAATTAATCTCCAAATATTCCTCATATCTGTCTCCTCCTGACTATCCCCAGTGCCTACACCTGCCTCCATTCAGACCCTCATCTTTTTTTTTTTTTTTTTTTTAAAGATGGAGTTTTCGCTCTTGTTGCCCAGGCTGGAGTGCAATGGCACAATCTTGGCTCACCGCAACCTCCGCCTCTTGGGTTCAAGCGATTCTCCTGCCTCAGCTTCCCAAGTAGCTGGGATTACAGGCGACCGCCACCATGCCCAGCTAATGTGTTTTCAGTAGAGACAGGGTTTCTCCATGTTGGTCAGGCTGGTCTCGAACTCCCGACCTCAGGTGATCCACCCGCCTTGGCCTCCCAAAGTGCTGGGATTACAGGCGCCCAGATTCTTTTTTTTTTAAACGGGATCTCACTCTGTTGCCCAGGCTGGAGTGCAATGGCGTGACCTTGGCTCACTGCAACCTCTGCCTCCTGAGTTCAAGCAATTCTCCTGCCTCAGCCTCCCAAGTAGCTGGGATTACAGGCATGTGCCACCACGCCCGGCTAATTTAGCAGAGATGGGGTTTTGCCATGTTGGTCAGGCTGGTCTCGAACTCCTGACCTCAGGTGATCCACTTGCCTCGGCTTCCCAAAGTGCTGGGATGACAGGTGTGAGCCACCACGCCCAGCAGACCCTCATCTTTCATCCATTTGGCAATAACCACTCAACTGGATTCCCTACTGCACATCTCTTCCCATTACCCAATTCCATCCAGCCTCCACATAGCTGGAAAAGTAGTCTACTATAGAATACACATCGCCAGCTACATACATGACCCTTAGTCTAAGACCTGATCTTGGCTTTGCTCTGCAGCCTTGTCTTCCAGCACTTGACCCCTACCCCCTTTAACCCACCAATACCAAACTATTGTAGCTATCGCCCTACCCCATGATGGTCAAGTCCCAGATCACCCCTCTGGCTAGGAAACAAGCCCTACTTCCTAGATAAGATTAACTCCATCCTGGCTAACACGGTGAAACCCTGTTTCTACTAAAAATACAAAAAATTAGCTGGGCAGGTGGGCGGCAGGCACCTGTAGTTCCAGCTACTTGGGAGGCTGAGGCAGAAGAATGGCGTGAACCCAGGAGGTGGAGCTTGCAGTGAGCCGAGATCGCACCACTGCACTCCAGCCTGGGCAACAGAATGAGACTCCATCTCAAAAAAAAAAAAAAAAAAAAAAAAGATTAACTCCAGGTCATTCCTTAAGATCCGGCCAGAGCATTTTCTCAAAAGTGGCCCCTGATTTCAGTCCCTGACAAAAATGGCTTAGTTATACCCCCATAGCCCATATCATACTGTACTAAAAGCACCTATTTATGTCCACCCACCCCCACCAACCCCCTGCAACCACCACCGCTGGACACTTAAGTTCCTTGAAGACAGAGACCATTTCCAGAAGGCAGTACAGTACTTAGTACGTGATAGGCAGGGGGAAGAAAAGAAAGACTAAACCTAACTATTTATTACTGTCTGATATTTATATAAAGGAGACTGTGGATGAATATTTTTAAAAAGAAAAGAAAACACTGATGGGAGCAAAAAGAGAAAACAAACTTAAGAATAGCAGAATGGAGTCTTAAAACAACAACAAAAACTTCAACAAATGCCAGAAGTGTTTCCAACTGCACATATTCAGGATACCCTGGTCTCAATGTACTCTATGACACCTTCTGAAGAATAATACAAATAACAAGAGGCCCAAAATGCATTATTAACTGGTACCTATGGATTTCTTCTCCCATAAAGTGATACGAGCAATACCCCCAATGTGGATAGAAACAAAAATGCCTCTTGGAGATGTACTCTGGGACTATAGATAGTGGAAGTACACAAAGGAAAAAGCATGGAATTCTTTTTGGGATTGATTTCCCTACAGTTTTAAAGTATGTTTTCTTCCTATGTCATTATCAGAGTTAGCATACTTAAAATAGAATTGGTGGCAAATGTGGGTGTCAAGGCCGGGCGCAATGACTCACGCCTATAATCCCAATACTTTGGGAGGCCAAGTCGGGTGGATTACCTGAGGTCAGGAGTTCGAGACCAGCATGACCAACATGGGAAATCCTGTCTCTAGTAAATACAAAAAATTAGCTGGGCGTGGTGGTGCATGCCTGCAATCCTAGCTACTTGGGAGGCTGAGGCAGAAGAATCGCTTGAACCCAGGAGGCGGAAGTTGCAGTGAGCCAAGATTGCGCCATTGCACTCCAGCCTGAACAACAAGAGCAAAACTCCATCTCAAAAAATAAAAATTAAAAAAAAAGGTGAGTATCAAAAGGGAGTTCTATCCATAATGAAATTATTAACCCAAAGGAAGTCTCAGTGCTAATGGGCCCTCATCACTAGGTATGTGCCTTGCCATGATATTTCTGTAGATCTGAGTCAGTTACATATTATTTATGTCAAAAGTACTAATAGATTAAAAAGGGAGGGAGGTGGAGAGAAGGAAAAAGACAAGGCTTTGGTCAAGTCCACGTGTGCTGGTCTAGCCATGCAGTCATGTGGTTTCTCCTGGGCTCTTCCCGAAGGGCATGTCCTCACAAACCTTCTATGAGCTAAGTCAGGAGGGGGAGACGGGCAGGAGCCACATGAAACAGCAGGGCCAAGGGTATTACCCTGGAGTCAGCAAACACAGCCACGGAGCACAGACACGGCAAATATTCCACAGGGAAAAACCACCGAGGGCAAAAGTGGCCCAACTGCTGGGAGACCTGGTAGTTAGAGGAAAGCCTTTTTTAAACTCAGTGGAAAAGGCCCACATACAGCAGGCACCAGTATAATTACCAAAGCCACCAGGCCCGTCTGCCAAGCTGGGCTGATGTGGCCTCTTGACCAGGTTTTATTCTTGGCGGCTGCTGCACTCTTCTCCCTCTGCTCTTCCTGCTCCTGCTACTAAATAAACTAGCAGATGCTGGCTTCATGTACTACAAACCCTGAGCTATCTATCTTCTCGTTTGTTTTGGCATCTACTTCAAATGGTAAAGCATCTGTGAAACGGACCAAAGCACTCCAAAAATCTACTTCAGGGTCATTTTCAAGAATTTATTTCTACACTTCCACAGACCGTTTTGAATTTCCCTATCAAAGATATAACAAGCGTGATCCACACACAATCACCCAGTCATTTTTGTTATTTGTCTTCTCTAGGCAAATACATGTCATTGTTCAAATACCAGCGCGGGAGAGAAATCACAGTGTGCTTTTAGTTCTATACCAAATTTCATCCACTCCCATTTCTCTTCGTTCTCTGTGCTACCTTATTCACTCTTGTGGCTTCATCACCAGCTGTGTGTCAGCAACTCTGAAATTACTATCTCCATCCCAGACCTCTCTGATCAAACCCAGACCCAGATATCCAAAGACCTAATGGACATTTCAAAAACAAACTACTTAAAACTGAACTCCTCATCTTCCTCTTGCCAAAGTATTTCAGTACCCACTGCTTTCTCCTAACTCATACTTTGAGTCATCCTTGACTTCTCTCCTTTCTTCGGCCTCCCATCTTGTCAATAAAGCTATCATGCCTGAGCTATGCTCTATTAAACAAGAAAAGTTACACTTCTGTCTGATTTAAGTGTGCTTTCTATCTCTCTCTTCCAGATTCCAGCAAGTATTGCTGTATGTGTCAGTCTGCACTCACTGTGTGAGGTTGGCAAATGCCCTGTTCATTCTCTCAGCTCTCCCTCCAGAGCATGCTCCCATACACCAATTTCAAAAGCACTAGAGTGCACTGAACACGATAGGTTTCTTTGTATCTTTGGGTGGGGGTGGTCATTCAAAAACCCAAAAGAGAAGTTCTCATTTCACAGCAGCAGCATCTCCAAGGAAAATTCTTCCAGAGTGAAACAACACCACAGTTCATAAAACAACACAAAAGGAATCAAACAAGTCTGTTAAACAGTAACGAACTACAAAGCCAGAACTAACCTGGATGGAGACTTAAAAGACAAAGTTGTGGCAGGAAGAATACCAAAAAAGTTGGGAATGGGAAAAGTCCACTCACTGATTCAGTTACCCTCTGTAATTACAGACACCCAGACACCCTCACATCTTTCATTCAACATTAATATTTTTTCAGCCTGTCCTCAACCTGTTGAAATACAGCTCAGAGGGAAGTATTTTAGAAAGATGCATTTCCTCAACTTTGACTTTTCAACGCAACTCCAAGTAGAATTTTCAAAGAATAAAATGTCTAATTAGGAAGAACAGGCTTACAGTTTCAGCTCAGTTCAACTTTGTTGAGAAAATATTTCGGTCAATGGCTCAATGGAATGAGGTCCTTTTCTTTCCTATCTTCGGAGAGCAGCGTCGCCATTTCTAGGACTGACCCCACACAAGGAGTGTTGACTGTAAACTTTCAGGGTATCACTCGACAACCCAGAAACTGGTGGCAGCTGGAAGGACAGAGGTCATGTGTGCTGCTTTCTATAATAAAATTCTTTTTACCCCTGGGTTAAGTTGATTACTCAAACTCTCAGACTCCTCCTCCTCCCCGCTTCCAGCCTACTCGCATTTTCCCTAGGCTGATTGACTCTAGGAAAACAAGTATTGCATTATGCTTGACTCCTTGGAATGAGATCAGTTCTCATTTCAAATTCCCTTTCAGAACAACCCCAAGGCCACAGACCCTGTAAAAATCCCAGATGCCCAACAACTCAGGAAGGCCTAAGCTATGACAAGAAAACATTACTTAAGTAATAATCAGCAAATGCATCCTAAACCCGGACTGGTATCCTCTGAGGTCTCTTCCAAGGCATTTGGCAGGAACACGTCTGTAAACCACCCAGTCTCACTCTCGGCTCCTCCTCCAAGGCAGAATGGCCAAGGCAGAGGCTTTAGTGCACTGTTCGGCAGTGATTTTCTCCAACTGGCACCATCTGTGCACACCCTGCCAGACTTGCTGACAGAGCAGGCTGCACAGACCATTACTAATCTCCCAGGGTCAGCTGGGTCAGGCCTGCAACAGGATGCCTATAGATTTCAAAGGCCGGTGTTCTCTCCGTGCCAGCTAATCGATCTATGTTGGAAAGCAAGCACATTTTTATTCCACCTTCTTTTAAATTTCAAAGAAAAATCTCAATTTTAAAGCTCTTCATGTGGGAACTGCTTGCATGTAATCAGTGTCCTGATACCAGTTATGTTATATGAGATCTTTGGAGGATGGGGCTTACCCATTGATCCTTTGCCAAGATTCAGTAGTAAGGCCAGGAAGACAACTTTGCTCAGACAACAAAAGGCCTTCTAAATAGCACCATCGGGAATGGACTACATGGATCAAGATTCAGCCTCAACTGCAAAGTCCTCTTAGCTGAGTCTGCAAAAGAAGAATAAATGCTACTCTACCAGGATCTTATCATGTGAGCTCAGGCAGTGTCACCAGGACTGGTAAAGAAAATCTCAGCATCATTCACCATCTACTTCAGAATTCATCTGTGAATGCTGCCACCCACTACCAACTGCCTATCAAGTGTTTACTAAATGTCAATTGTGTGCCAAGAGTCTGATATTCCCTCAAACTTCTGTAGTTTCTTTTGCTGAGGAATGGGATAACTGAGTCTAGTACTCAGCCATATAGTAGGCTAGACAAATCCAAAAGCCCCTTGAAGGCGGGATCATATTGATCCTGTTTCAAGGTGTTACCACTTAGCACAGACTTTTTCAGGCTTGTTGCAGTAATTCTATTAAAAACCCTTTTAGATAATTATATAAATACAACTAGGAGGAGGCAGTATCAAGATCAATTACTGTAATCATTTCTTTGTAGATGATGTTATTCTAGATCTTCAAATAAAACAATGACTCAGTCTGATAGAGTCAAAAAACTAACAGCCACAAAACTAAGACATTACTACCAGCTCCAAAGAGACCAGATCTTTTGTTTACAATAATTAAAGGTTTAAAGAAATTTCCAGATAAGTGACTTCATCTTCTTACTCTTGCTTACATATCAGTTTCTACACTTAACCAAACCCTAACAGAGTTTACATGGGGCTAAAGGGGTGATAGTAAAGAGGAATTTGTGAGCTGAAATATAATTAATAATTCCTCTAACCCAGATCATCTTCCTTGTAAAAATATGGGTTTGTTAAGAAGCCAGCAGAGAGGTTCACAGATCTGACATGGCCACTTAGGCATAACTGGAGACTCAGGTCTGCATGAGTTCTCATTGAATAATTTCTTCTTCCAATATTTTTCCAGCTTCAGGTAACCAGAGAAATCTCCAGGCTAACCTGGTTCCTAACACGTCTATTCTTCCCAACTCCTCCCTTTGCAAGGGAGTCCCTATATTGTCTAAAAATAAGTCACGCAATCACTCGGCTCCCCTCCAACTATTTAGTATCAAAGAATCACTGCCATGTCTACAGCAGACATTTTCTCAGCCTTTAGATTTCCTATCTAGATAGCACAAAACAAACTGAACACATAAAACAAATGGGAACATTTATAATGAGATCATGTTTCACATCCACCACGCCTCAACTCACCCTTCCCAAGACATCAGGTGCACTGAAGAAGATCTCATTCCATTTAACTTACAGAAGGCACACCTTCACAGTCCAGGATGATGTGTTTTGATCTTTCAGAATTAACACTTGACTAGGCCTAACTTCACATCTTTGGCTTTCAATGTAAAGTTTTATGATGTCTTTCCTCCACATCCAGTCCCAATTCCTTCTGAGTGTCTCTGTGATTCTAGACAACAGCAACCACTTTTTTAAACAAAGACTTCCCAGCATTCAACTTCATTTCTGTCTGTTTGATTCTGCTAGAGAAAGAGAGATAAGAATCTAGACAGAGGCTTTCATAGTGTTTTACCTGTAACTTGTCTAAACCACCAACTGACAAATACAGTCTCTGCCATTAAGCACCCCAGGTACCTACGGTGTAGAAGTAATTGCACAGACCTGTGCCTCTAGCATCACTTCCAGCATGGAAGCAACAAGGAGAATGATCAGAAGGCAGGATGCCTAGACGATAGAATGATAAATCCTCACGAAGCCTAAAAATATCAAGTCCAAGCAAGAATCATGGCCAAAATATTGCTATGGAACTCATAGAAAAAGACCTGAACAACAAAATTCTAAGTGGAGACAGTAAAAAAAAAAATCCATGTTTCTTAAACAGCCCAACCATCCACAAAGAAACAATCAGGGCTGGGTATGTGGCTCACACCTGTAATCCCAAAACTTTGGGAGGCCAAGGCGGGTGGATCACTTGAGGCCAAGAGTTCGAGACCAGCCTGGCCAACACAGTGAAACCCTGTCTCTACTAAAAATACAAAAAAATTAGCCAGTCTTCGTGGCGCGTGCCTGTGATCCCAGCTACTAGGGAGGCTGAGGCAGGAGAATCACTTGAACCTTGGAGGCAGAGGCTGCAGTGAGCCAAGACGGTGCTACCGCACTATAGACTGGGAGACAGAGCGAGACTCTGTCTCAAAAAAAAAAAAAGAAAAAAGAAAAAAGAAAGAAAATCGGGATAGATATAGGCAGACAGAAGTCTCTACCACGATTATCCTAACAAGGTACTCACAATATCTTGAATTTTGCCCATTTCTTTTTGATTTCTAAGGATTTAATGATACTTCACCAGCCTATTACTGAAAGGTAGGGTTTCTTATTTTTTTAATTCTCTTAGCAATTTACCATTGCTAAATGTGAACAGTAAAACATACAATTTAATGTTTACTCTACCTTTAGAGTTTAAAACAACTTAAACCTAAAAAATAGGTATAGATGGATATAGTACAGTAAGAGAGAAGGGACAAGGTTTATTGGATTCTCTGGCTTCTCTCACCAATTAGATTCTATCTGGTTTATAAAGATTCCAAAGGAAGATTCCTACAGGGGCCTCAGAAACGCAATCCAACTGAAAAACCACACTAAAAAGACGGGCACTGTGTAGGGTTCTGAGATACTGAAAGATATGATTCCTGAATTCCCTCAGCATTCTGGGATAAACACGAAGAAATCCTAAGTCCTCACTGCTATAGTTTTTCTCAAAGGAAGAGTTTCTTACATGAGATATTGACAAAACAGCCAATCTTCCACTGTAGGTTTTGGGGCTGGGATATAGAGATGATTCCCAGAGTTAGAGTACTGAGAACTATGTTGGTTTCTGATTAAATGTTGGTATAATATTAAAAACCAGTTAAGAATGATCAAAGGAACCTACATAAAACACTGTGGTCACTCTTTCTTCATGTGCCATTAGCATCTGCCCAAAGGCTACCTCTGTGACAAGTCCAAATGGCTTGCCCCAGGCTCTGCTTGCAGGAACCAGACTTAAATAACAGTCAAGGTCTGATTTTGAGAACACTTAAGTTCAAGTGCCAAGTTTCTTTAACATTTAATATATTTGTTCTCTGTATAACCACCCCCTCTACAGTGGTTTCATGAGATCACCACCTAATCTCTAATTCTTACTCAAGGAAACCAGTTAAGAACCCTCAATGGAAGTAACCTAGGACAACTAATCACCCCCAAAAAACTCTTTGCTGTGGGGAAATGGATCACAAAATACAATGGATTGGTCGGGCATAGTGGCTTACACCTGTAATCCCAGCACTTTGGGATTTCGAGCAGATAACTTCAGGCCAGGAGTTCGAGACCAGCCTGGCCAACATGGTGAAACCCTGTCTCTACTAAAAATATGAAAATGGTCAGGCGTGGTGGCTCCACCTATTGTAATCCCAGCATTTTGGGAGGCCGAGGTGGGTGGATCACCTGAGGTCAAGAGTTCAAAAGCAGCCTGACCCACATGGAGAAACTCCATCTTTTCTAAAAATAGAAAATTAGCCAGGTGTGGTGGCGCATACCTATTATCCCAGCTACTGGGGAGGCTGAGGCAGGAGAATCGCTTGAACCCAGGAAGTGGAGGTTGCAGTGAGCCAAGATCATGCCATTGCACTCCAGCCTGGGCAACAAGAGCAAAACTCCATCTCTTGAAGAAATTTTAAAAAATAATAATAATACAAAAAATTAGCTGGACATGGTGGTGGACACCTATAATCCCAGCTACTTGGGAGGCTGAGGCAGAAGAATTGCTTGAACCTAGGAGGCAGAGGTTGCAGTGAGCCGAGATTGCACCATTGCACTTCAGCCTGGACAACAGAGCAAGACTCCATCTTGAAAAACAACAAAAAAAAGATAGAATGGATCATAGAGAAAGAGAACAAAGACGATCATGAAAAGACATAAAAGAAACAAAAATGAAAAGGAAAAGTACTCTCTCTCCCTCCTGGGGAGTTACATGCAAAATGTCAACTTACAGGAGTGAAATAATTACTCTATTTTTTTTTCCATAAGTTAATGGGGTACAGGTAGTATTTGGTTACATGAGTAAGTTCTTTAGTGGTGATTTGTGAGATTTTGGTGCACATATCACCCAAGCAGTATACATTGCACCATATTTTTAGTCTTTTATCTCTCACCCTCCTCCCACTCTTCCCCCCAATTCCCCAAAGTCCTTTGTATCATTTTTATGCCTTTACGTCCTCATAGTTTAACGCCCACGTATCAGTGAGAACAGACGATGTTTGGTTTTCCATTCCTGAGTTACTTCCCTTGGAATAATAGTCTCCAATCTCATCCAGGTCACTGCAAATGCTACATAGCATTCCATTGTATATATATACCACAGTTTCTTTATCCACTCATTGATTGATGGGCATTTGGGTTGGTTCCATGATTTTGCTATTATGAATTCTGCCATTAGAAACATTCGTGTGCAAGTATCTTTTTCGAATAGTGACTTCTTTTCCTCTTGGTAGATACCCAGTAGTGGGATTGCTGGATCTAATGGTAGCTCTACTTTTAGTTATTTAAGGAATCTTCACACTGTTTTCCATAGTGGCTGTATTTGTTTACATTCTCACCAGCAATGTAGAAATGTTCCCTGTTCACCGCATCCACACCAACATCTATACTGTTTTTTTTATTTTTTTGATTATGTCCATTCTTGCAGGAGTAAGATGGTATCACATTGTGATTTTGATTTGCATTTCCCTGATCATTAGGGACTTTTAGCATTTTTTCATATGTTTGTTGGCCATTTGTACATCTTCTTTTGAGACTTGTCTATTCATGTCCTTAGCCCACTTTTTTATGGTATTGTTTGTTTTCTTCTTACCGATTTGAGTTCATTGTAGATTCTAGATATTAGGTTTTTTGTCAGATGTACAGATTGTGAAGATTTTCTCCCACTTTGTGGGTTGTCTGTTTACTCTGCTGACTGTTCCTTTTGCCATGCAAAAGCTCTTTAGTTTAATTAGGTCCCAGCTATTTATCTTTGTCTTTATTGCATTTGCTTTTGGGTTCTTGGTCATGAAATCCTTGCCTAAGCCAACATCTAGAAGGGTTTTTCCAGTGTTATCTTCTAGAATTTCTGTAGTTTCAGATCTTAGGTTTAAGTTCTTGATCCATCTTGAGCTGATTTTTGTGTAGGGTGAGAGATGAGAATCCAGTTCCTTCTCCTGCATGTGGCTAGTCAATTATGCCAGCACCATTTGTTGAAAAGGGTGTCCTTTCCCCACTTTATGTTTTTGTTTGCTTTGTCAAAGATCAGTTGGCTGTAAGTATTTGTGTTTATTTCTGGGTTCTCTATTTTCTTCCATTGGTCTATGTGCCTATTTTTATACCAGTACCATGTTGTTGTTTTAGTGACTATGGCCTTATAGTATAGTTTGAAATCAGGTAGCGTGATGCCTCCAAATTTGTTCTTGTTTTTTGTTTTGTTATTTGTTTTTTGTTTTTGAGATGGAGTTTCACTCTGCCACCCAGGCTGGAGTACAGTGGTGCGATCTCTGATCACTGCAACCTCCACCTCCTGGGTTCAAGCGATTCTCCTGCCTCAGCTTCCTAAGTAGCTGGGATTACAGGCGCCCACCATCATGCCCGGTTAATTTTTGTATTTTTAGTAGTGACGGGGGTTTCGCCATGGTGGCCAGGCTGGTCTTGAACTCCTCACCTCTAGTGTTCCACCTGCCTCAGCCTCCCAAAGTGCTAGGATTATAGGCGTGAGTGCCCAGCCCAGATTTGTTCTTTTTGCTTAGTGTTGCTTTGGCTATGCGTGCTCTTACTTGGTTCCATATGAATTTTACAATTGTTTTTTCTAATTCTGTGAAGAATTCTGTGATGGTGGTATTTTGATGGAGATTGCGGTGAATTTGTAGACTGCTTTTGGCAATACGGTCATTTCACAATATTGATTCTACCCATCCATGAGCATGGGATGTGTTTCCATTTGTTTGTATTGTGTATGATTTCTTTCAGCAGTGTTTTGTAGTTTTCCTTGTAGAGGTCTTTCAACTCCTTGGTCAGGTACATTCCTAAGGTTTTGTTTTTTTGTTTTTTTTGCAGCTATTGTAAAAGGGGTTGAGTTCTTGATTTGATTCTCTGCTTGGTTGCTACTGATCTGTGTACATTAATCTTATATCCAGAAACTTTGCTGAATTTTTTTTTTTTTTTTTTTTTAGACAGAGCCTTACTCTGTCGCCAGGCTGAAGTGCAGTGGCTCAATTTAGGCTCATGCAACCTTTGCCTCCAGGGTTCAAGTGATTCTCCTGCCTCAGCCTCCTGAGTAGCTGAGACTACAGGTGCACGCCACCACACCCAGCTAATTTTTGCATTTTGGGTTCCACCATGTTGGCAAGGATGTTCTCAACCTCTTGACCTCGTGATCCACCCACCTCGGCCTCCCAAAGTGCTGGGATTATAGGCGTGAACCACCACGCCAGGCCTTGCTGAATTCTTTTATCAGTTTCAGGAGCTTTCCAGAGGAGTCCTTAGGGTTTTCAAGGTAAATGATCATATCGTCAGCAAACAGTGACAGTTTGACTTCCTCTTCACCAATTTGGATACCCTTTATTTCTTTCTCTTGTCTGATTGCTCTGGCTAGGACTTCCTATGTTGAAGAGGAGTGGTGAGAGTGGGCATTTTTGTCTTGTTCCAGTTCTCAGAGTGAATGCTTTCAACTCTTCCCCATTCAGTATTATACTGGCTATTGGTTTGTCATGATGGCTTCTATTACATTACGGTATGTCCTTTGTATGAGCGATTTTGCTGAGAGTTGTTTGTTTGTTTGTTTGAGACAGAATCTCGCACTGTTGCCCAGGCTGGAGTGCAGTGGTGCAATCTTGGTTCACTGCAACCTCTGCCTCCCGAGTTCACGCGATTCCCCTGCCTCAGCCTCCTGAGTAGCTGGGATTACAGGCACACGCCATCACACCTGGCTAATTTTTTGTCTTTTTAGTAGAGGTGGGGTTTCACTATGTTGGCCAGACTGGTCTCGAACTCCTGACCTGGTGATCTGCTCACCTCAGCCTCCCAAAGTGCTGGGATTACAG